>NW_025791761.1:0-300000 GCF_000001405.40 Homo sapiens
CCCTTTTTGAACAGAAGCGTCTGCAGCGATTATCCTGTGCTTGCTCCACTATTGTACAATATATTGGGTGCAGTGAGCAGAGAGGCAGCTTGTCCTTTGATTCCCAAGTCTTCAGGTGGAGAGGAACTGCACTGCAGGGGCTCTACTCCAGGAACAGCACCCAAGGAGCCTCAGCCACTCCTGCACCTGATTTATATGTCAAGATCATGGACCTTGAGCCCCAGCCTGATGCTACAGGAGATACAATGTTTAAGGGGTTTAGGGCAGGGGAGTGAGTCTACTTTGCATGTAGGGGAAAATGTAGGTAATGTATGTCCAACGGGCAAATTGTGATGATTTTAAAATATGTCCACAAATTCTATGATATTCTTCTCAGCAGAAGGTAGAGCCTAATTCCCCTTCCCTTGAATCGTGGCTGGCCTCAGCAACTAACTTTTAACCCATAAAATATGGCAGAAGTGAATCTGTAAGATTTCTCCGAGGAGGTCACCAAAGGGGACACAGCTTTTGCCTTCTTCTCTTCTCTCTGGGGATGTTTACCTTCGGAACCCAGCCAGCACTGTGTGAAAAAGCCAAGGAGCCCCATGGAAAGGTCAAGTGGAGGGGCTGTGGCCATAGGCCCTGCTGAGCTCCCAGCACCAACTAGCTGACCTGTGAGATTTCAGATGATTCCAGCCACCAGCCTCAAATCACCCCTGCTGATGCCAAGAGAAGCAAAGACAAACTGTCCTTCTCAAGCCCTGCCCAAATTACAAATTAATGAGCAAAATAAATGCAGTCATTATGTTAAGGAACAAAGTTTAGAGTGATTTGTTATGCAGCAACAGGTAACCAGATATTGATATGCAAATGCCTACTCAGAATATCCACATTATCGGTCAGGTACAGTGGCTGATACCTATAATCCCAGCACTTCAGGAAACTGAGATGGGATCGTTTGAGACCAAGACCAGCCTCAGCAACACAGTGAGATCCCATCTCTATAAAAATTAAAAAATTAGCAGGGTGCAGTGGCACATACCTGTGGTTCCAGCCACTTGGGAGGTTGAGGTGGGAGGATTGCTGAGCCGAGGTGGTTGAGGTTGCAGTGAGCCATGATCATGCTACTGCACTCCAGCCTAGGTAACAGAGCAAGACCCTGTCTCCAAAGAAAGAAAGAAAAAAAATCCACATATTGAAATACAATCTTGCAGCAGTTGCAACATTTTATACATTCTGAATTACAATGGCTTCATGGTCCCCAGCTTTATCACTTACTAATTGTGGGACCTTCAGCAAGTCAGTCTCCTGAGCTTTAGTTTCTGTAGCTGTAAAGTAAAGATTAGAATACCTGTCATTTTATTTTTCCAGCTTTATTGAGGCATAATTGACATATAAAACTATATATATATATATTCTTTTTCTCTTTCTTTCTCTCTCTCTTTCTTTCTTTCTTTTTTTTCTTTCTTTCTTCTTTCTTTTTTTTTGAAATAGGGTCTTGATCTGTTGCCCAGGGTGGAGTGAAGTGGCACAACCATAGCTCACTACAGCCTTGACTTCCTGGGTGCAAACAATCCTCCTGCCTCAGCCTCCCAAAGTGCTGGGGTTACAGATGTGTGCCACCATGCCTGGCCAAAATTATATATATTTAAGGAGTACAGTGTGATGACCAATATACTATACATTGTGAAATGATTACCACAATCAAGTTAGTTAACACATTCATCACCTACAAAGCCTACCACTTGTGTGTGTGTTTAGTGAGAACACGTAAGATCTACTGTCTTAGCAAGTTTTAAGTACACAATACCATATCATTAACTAGAGTTATAGGACTTTCTCCTTAGTTCAGCTGAAAGCCTAGTTCTTGTCACATGGCCATGAGAGATTAGGTTCACAGACAATTTGGAGGATGAGAAAAATGGAATTTATTAGGCAAAAAGGAAAAAAAAAAAGGGAAACGGACTCTCGGCAGAGTGAGAGTCCTGCTAGCTGGTTTTCCAGAATCACAGATTGAATTCCAGGTTCCACCCTGGAACCGGAGAGGCCAGCTCCTCTCTGCCTGCAAATGGGGCGAAATTCCGGAGGCTCCACCCCAGTGCGCACTCCTTGGCTGTCTCAGTCACCATGTTGTATATCAGTACTTGTCTTATTTTAGAAAATCAACTGTGAAAGCCATGTAGCAAGAAGAAAAATGGTAATATATCGTAGGCTATTGTTCTGTGAAATGGCCATATATGCAAAGCTGCTCCCAAATGCTGAAGAGCCAAGAAACCAAAGAAGGTGGCCAACAAATCCAGTGTGTCAGTAAAGGGTATTTTATTGGGGAACTTACAGACAGAAGCGTGGTCTTGGGCAGCAGCAAGACAGGTAGATCTCTGCACTGTTATTGAACAGGCAAGAAGGCTGTGCGTCATGTCCTATAATTTGTGTGATAACATCAAAGTTGACATGTTCTTAGACTAAGGACAGCAAATAAAGTAGGAAGCAGGAGGCATTCACGGGACTGGAGCTAATCAGAAATCAACCGGACAGGTTAGCATCTAAGAGGGATCCACTTTTGTCTCCATAGTTATAACGCTAAAATCAAATGATTACAACTTTAAGTGTGTATAGAAGAGAAGTAGAGGGATTAGAGGAGTGGGTGGGGATGATTTTTTCTTCCATTACCCAAATTTTCTATAATATTTTTACTTTAGTAATCCAAAGAAATGCATATATTTTAAAATTTTTTTATTGTGCATTTCCAGTCCATACCCAGTTAGTTCTTTTCACTGACCTCCCTTCCTGTTAAATCGGGTGAAGTGGCTTGGAAGAGGAGCAGGGATGAAGCAGTATCCTATTTCTTGGAGCTTAGGGATCAACAGAGAATTAACTCTAGGACCCAGATTGCCTGCCTTCCCAACCTATGCCCAATTCCTTGCCCTGTAACCCTCCAATACTAGTTAGTTCTCACCTATATAAGCTGAGTATTGGATCCAGTGCCACATTAAATGCCCATTATTTGTGTAAGCAGAAGTTGCAGCTTTCTGAGCTTAGAGGCGATGTCATCCAGTGGTTGGAGGAGTTGGTCAAAATGCATGGGTTGGACACCTACCTCCACCATGTATTGCCTGGGGGCTTGGCAGATGTAATTAAGGACCTCAAGGTGAGATCATTCTGGATCAGGTGGGCCCTAAATCCAATGACAAGTGTCCTTCTAAGACAGGAAGACACAACAGAGAGCAGGAGGCCATGTGAAGACAGAAACAGAGATTCACAAGCCAAGGAATGCCTTGGGCCACCAGAAGCTGGAAGAAGGAAGGAACACATTCTCTCTTAGAGCCCCAGAGAGAGCCCAGCCCAGCCCACCTCTTGATTTCAGAGTTCTGGCCTCCAGAACTCTGAGAGAATAAATTTTCGTTTTATTAAGTCACCCAGTTTGTGGTTGTTTGCTACGACAATTCTGGGAAATTAATATGATGGATGGGTCTCACAATCCTAATACTGAAAGAAAAAAATCCAAGTTACAGAAAACACGGATACCATCTCAACAGCGTTTCAGAAACGTGAAACCCGTACATTGTACCGTTTAGGAACACATATGTATCGGCAAAAGCGTAATGAAACAAATGGGAATGATGAACACCAAATTTAGAGAAGTGGAAACTGTAAAGAGAAGGAAGGGAATACAGCTGAGGGGGCACAAAGGCTTCACCTGTTTGGATGGTAATGCGTTTCCCAAGCTGAGTGGCAGAGTCAAGTAGAATCAGTATCATAGGTTTACACCTTTGTGTAGGACTTAACTATTTCATTACAATAAAATTTAAAAGGGAAGAAATGAAAAAGGACAAAAAGGAAGGTTAATAGCACATTGAAGATGGGGGAGCTTCTTTCTTGGATAAACATACAACCATTCAAGGTCAAAGCGGGATGATTTGGTGCATATGTATCTCCTGCTACTTAATAACCAGGTGAAATTCAGTTTGTTAATATTCAGTGTTCTGATGTTGCTTATAAATAATTCCAACAGTAACCTTTTCATTGGAAAAACACCTGTACAGTGCCAACTCTGATTACTCCCTGTGGATATTGCTTAGCTAAAAATTAATATATCATACTTTCTAGAATGACAGACTGTGGGCTGGAATAAGAGAAAACAGTAATTTATAAGATGGAGTAATTATTGGAGGATTCAGGTACCATTTACTGACTTTTTTTCTTTATCCTGAAGCCAACAAAATTATCGAGTCCACATTCTCAGTCTTTTATTAGCCTTTATCTTAGGTTGTCTATCAAAAACAATATTTCTGTGGATTAATAAACACCACAAACACATAATAAACTGCACAGGCCCCTGGTGTTCCTAGGCAATACGTGAGCTAAGCTGAAGACCATCAAAGTGAGCTGGCCAGCGCTTGCTACCTCGGCGTGGCTGAGGCCTCCTCGCTGGCTGCACTACCGATAATATGCACGAGGTGGCAGCAACGTCACGGCCGCCAGCCCGGGGCCTCCACGGGCGACTGAGGCTGCGCAGTTGACTTCCTCATCACCAACAGGGCAGTCTTGGTTTCAAAACCAGATCTGGTTGTTTCTTTGAGCGCTAGGATTTAGACAAACATTGTGATTATTTTCAATTAAAAATTATTCATGCCAAACATACAACCATAATTCGATATCTAGTATAAGTAGCCTTCTCTTTCCTTTTTTTTTCCGGACACTCAATGGTGAAATGCTTCATTACTTTAAAAACATGCCCAGGCCGAACGATGGGGACTCTAAAAAGATCAGCGGTTTGCCAGGGGTTGGGGAGGAGGGAGATGAATAGGTGGAGCACGGAGGATTTTTAAGGCAGTGAAAATACTCTGTATTATAGCATAATGAGTTCTATGTAGTTATAAATTTGTCCAAACACATAGAATGTACACCATAAAGAGTGAACACATAGAATCCCAGCACTTGGGACTAAGGTAAGTTGTGGACTTTGGGTGATAAGGTAACAAATGTACCCTCTGGGGAATGTTGATAAGGGGGGAGGCAGTGCATATGCAGGGCAGGGGTGGGGATATGGGAAATCTGTGTACCTTCTACTCAATTTTGCTGTAAACATAAAACTGCTCTAAAAAAAATAAAATCTTTTAAAAATGCCTATTTCCAAAAGTGTGCTAGGTATGTCAACATTTAAAAAATAATGACAATTATATAGGAAAGGTACCCTGAAAATCTATATCTACAATATTCAAAGAGAAACAGTCTTCCAAATAATTAGCATTTTATGAAGGACAGAATCATTTGACAGCAGGTAAATTACAACTGGCTCCAGCCATCTCTTCTTGTAGGGCATTATTGCTAAAATTCAGAATCAGCTGAGAAATGGCACATCAAGGCTGTGTCTTTCTGTGCCAGATTTGGAAGCTCTGAACCCTTGTCAGCCCAACTTCTGAAGGATGATTAGATGGTGGCCTTCAGAATTTTCTTAGCAGATGCTGCCTAATTTTCTGCCTCATTTTGTGGAATCTAGGATGTCTCTTCTGTATAATGAACTTAATACCACTCCTACCGACCTACAGGTTACTGTGAGACTCAAATGGAATAATCTAGATTCTCAATAAATATTTGTTGAATAAATGATAATGAGAGGACTTTAAAAACTGTACTTTTATAGACTACCAAAAATACATAATGATAGAGTTTTGTAACTGTGATATAATGAGAAATATGTATTTGTTCTAACTCCAATTCCTGGCACAGAGCTTCTAAAACCCTTGGAATTTTCCAAGTGATGGGGTGAGAGGAGTGTCTTTTGTTCTTCATAATAAGCATTTCAACCACACCTGAGTCCACCACACCTGAGTCCACTTTAGAGGATGGGGCTGGTTGCCAGAGGAACCCACCATGTGATTAGAGGGTTGGAACTTTCAGTCCCACTCCCAGACCTCTGGGGAGGGAAGAGAGAAGGTGGCCATTGAGTTCAGTCACAAATGGCCAATGATTTAATCAAGCATGCCTACGTAGCGGAGCCTCCATAACCACTCTAGATGACGGGGTCTGGAGAGCTTCCAGGTTGAATATATCCATGTGCCAGGAGGGTGGTGCACCCCAGACTCCACAGGGACACAAGCTCCTGTGTTCAGGATCCTTCCCGACCGCCCCCTAGGTACCTCTTCATCTGACTGTTCATTTGTTGTCTTCACTATATCCTTTATAATAATCTGGCAATAGCAAAGTGTTTCCCTAAGTTCTGTGTGCCGGTGAGGTGTCAGAACCCTGGCATCAGAAAGTAGTTGACTCCTGGTTTGGTAGGAAGATTTTACTGACAACAGTATAGGTTTGAAAAAAGAAAGAAGACCAGGCGTGGTGGCTCATGCCTGTAATCCCAGCACTTTGGGAGGCCAAGGCGGGCAGATCACCTGAGGTCGGGAGTTCGAGACCAGCCCAACCAACACGGAGAAACCCCGTTTCTACTAAAAATACAAAATTAGCCGGGCATGGTGGCGCATGACTCTAATCCCAGCTACTCGGGAGGCTGAGGTAGGAGAATCACTTGAACCCGGGAGGCGGAGGTTGCGGTGAGCTGAGATCGCGCCATTGTACTCCAGCCTGCGCAGCAAGAGCAAAACTCCGTCTCAAAAAAAGAAAGTTAGAAAGAAAGAATACTGCAGAATAGTGCAGCGGGGCATCTCAGAAAGAGGACTGAGCGCACCCCACACTGCTTTTTTTTTCTTAGGGGTATTTATGGACCTTAAGGCAGGAGCTGAAGGGTAATTTGGGCCATATTAGCCTTGTAGGTCATGATAAATGATTACATTTGTAGACATTTTGGTGCCTTAATGTCAGCAAGGGTTGCACACTGAGTTTCCGCATGGCATTCTGGAGATGTATAGAAATTCTAGTTACTTATACATTTTAAGTTGAAAAAGGCCTGGAACCAGAAGCTGACTTTAGATACTAGGGAAGTTTAATTACTTCTAAATTCCCCAGATAAGGAGTTTTGGCTGTTTGATAGTCACCAGGTGTCTTTGCTCCCTTCTAAGTTCCTCAGATAAGGAGTTTTTGTCTCCAGGGTTTGCTCAATGGTCACCAGCTGATTTCACTCTCGTCGCTGTGAGGGGCTAGAGCAAAAGGTGGAACCTAAGTGGGACATGGAAGTCTGGTTTGTAGCCAAGTCAGACAGAAGCGTGAGTCACCCAGGGACCCCTGACTTGCAACTGGCATCTGAAGTTGTAAGTGGGCAGTTTTGTGGGACTGGGTACTTAACCTGTGGGGTCTGTGTGAACTCCGGGTAGTGTCAGAATTGAATTAAATGGTAAGACACAAAGTTGGTGTCAGAGAGTTGGAAAATTTGTTAGTATGAGGGGAAAAAAACCCCATGCATTTGGTGTCAGGAGTATCATGAGAAACATTTTTTTCCTTTAGTAATTAAAACACATATTGTAGGAATGATTTTTTCTTTTTTTTTTTTTTTTTTTGAGACGGAGTTTCGCTCTTGTTGCCCAGGCTGGAGTGCAATGGCGTGGTCTCGGCTCACTGCAACCTCCGTCTCCCGGGTTCAAGCGATTCTCCTGCCTCAGCCTCCCGAGTAGCTGAGATTAGAGTCATGCGCCACCATGCCCGGCTAATTTTGTATTTTTAGTAGAAACGGGGTTTCTCCGTGTTGGTCGGGCTGGTCTCGAACTCCCGACCTCAGGTGATCCGCCTGCCTCAGCCTCCCAAAGTGCTGGGATTACAGGCTTGAGCCACCACGCCCAGCAGGAATGATTTTCAAAAATGAAAGAACTATGAATATCCTTCCAACCATTACTGAACAGCGGTTCTCAACACTGGGAAGGTTTTTAAATGTCCCAGTGCTCAGGGGTTTTTTGCCGGCCAGCAGGTGAGAAGCATCCATTGTTCTAGTGGTGTTTGGTTGGTGGGTTGAAGGTCCTCTGGCAATGGTATCATACAGTCAGCATTGACAGGGAAGTTAATGTCATTGTTGAATATTGGCCTTTTTTATGACTGACTTTATACAAAATAAATACACACTTAATGCAGAAAATGTGAAAAGCACAATCAAAACAGAAGTGTTACCGGAAAGCGGTCCCAATCCAGACCTCAAGAGAGGGTTGTCGGACCTCGTGCAAGAAAGAATTTGGGGTGAGTCCATAGAGCCGAGTGAAAGCAAGTTTATTAAGAAGGTAAAGAAACAAAAGTGCTGGGCACAGTGGCTCACACCTGCTGGGAGGCCCAGGCAGGAAGATGGCTTGAGCCCAGGAGTTCAAAACCAGCCTGGGCAACATAGCGAGACCCCAATCCCTAAAAATAAAAAAGAAAAGAAAAAGAAACAAAAAATGAAAGAAAAGAATGGCTACTCCATAGGCAGAGCAGTGGCATGGGCTGCTCAGCTGAGTATACTTACATTAATAGTTACTTCTTGATTATGTGCTAAACAAGGGGTGGATTGGATTATTCATGAGTTTTCCAGGAAAGGGATGGGCAATTCGCTGCTGTGAGAGTTCCTCCCACTTTTAGACCATATAGGGTAACTTCCTGACATTGCCATGGCATTTGTAAACTGTCATGGGGCTGGTGGGAGTGTCTCTTAGCATGCTAATGCATCATAATTAACACATAATGAGCAGTGAGGATGACCAGAGGTCACTTTCATCACCCTCTTGGTTTTGGTGGGTTTTGGCCGGCTTGTTTGCCACAACCTGTTTATCAGCAGGGTCTTTGTGACCTGAATCTTGTGGTGACCTCCTATCATCCTGTGACTAAGAATGCCTTAACCTCCTATTAATGCAGCCCAGTAGGTCTCAGCCTCACTTTACTCAGCCCCTATTCAAGATGGAGTCGCTCTGGTTCAAACACCTCAGACAAAAGCACTCCAAATCTGTCACTGCTGTTAATATGTTGGCGTGTGCCCTTGCAGGGTTTTTTTTCTTGTGCATAAATATGTATTTCTAAAATGAAAATGGAATCCTGCATGTCTTATGGCCAGCTTTGTTCACTCAGGAACACAATGTGGACATTTCCCCATGCCAATACTTTTTTCTATGACACAGTTTTTTAATTAATTAATTTATTTAGAGACAGAGTCTCACTCTGTTGCCCAGGCTGGAGTGCAGTGGTGCTATCTTGGCTCACTGCAACTTCCGCCTCCTGGGTTCAAACCCGATTCTCCTGCCTCCGTCTCCTGAGGAGCTGGGATTACAGGCACCCACCATCATGGCTGGCTAATTTTTGTATTTTCAGTAGAGATGGTGTTTCACCATGTTGGCCAGGCTGGTCTTGAACTCCTGACCTCAAGTGATCTGCCTGCCTTGGCCTCCCAAAGTGCTGGAATTACAGGAGTGAGCCACCACGCCGGCCTTATGACAGTTTTTAATAGATATTTTGCAGCTATTGGATGCACAGTTTCTTTAATCTCTTATTATTTAATATTAAGTTGTTTTCAATTATTCTGTGATAAAAACATTAAAAGTTCCTTCAATACACTTTTTTTTTTTGCATACAGCCCTGATAATTTCTTTGAATAATTACTTTTTTTTCTTTCTTTTTTTTTTTTTTTGAGATAGGGTCTCCCTCTCATAGCCCAGGCTGGAGTGCAGTGGCATAATCTCAGCTTACTGCAGCCTCGACTTCCCAAGCTCAGGTGATGCTCCCACCTCAGCCTCCCAAGTAGCTGGGACTACAGGCCCTTGCCACCATGCTGAGCTATTTTTTTTTTTTTTTTTTTTTGTAGTTTTAGTAGAGACAGGGTTTTGCCATGTTGCCCAGGCTGTTCTGAACTCCTGGGCTCAAATGATGCACCTGCCTCAGCCGCCAAAAGTGCTAGGATTACAGGCATGAGCCACCACAGCCAGCCATTCCCTCACTTTTAGTATTTACTCCTGACCAGTTTGGGCAGGATTCTAGATGAGTCAGTGATAGGAAGCTGAGCTTCTTGAAGGTACTCATCAATGAACTACCTCCTCATTTCAGCAGTTCCTCCAGAACAGCTGGCTTTCCTAGCCAATACTATCATGTAGGGTGGCTCAAAATTAGCCAAATATTCACTAAACAGGGGTTCTCAAATTTTGATGTGCATACAAATCACCAGGGGATCTGGTCAAAAATGCAGATTCAGCCCCTGCCTCTCTGGAGTGGGGCCTGAGATTCTGCACCGTTTAACCAGCTCCCAGGGCATGCTGAGACGCTGGTCAGTGGACCACACCTGAGGAGCACAGGCCGCGGCTCTATCACATTAGGCTGAGTATACCTGTGTTTCATCTTTGAGTTTCCCAACTGTATAAACGAAATGACTTCCAAAATAAAGGGGCAGGCTCAAATCAAATATCTATTTTTGATATGTTTCTTCAAGTCAGTTCATTTGAACATTGTTTTTGAAAGAAAAATTTTTTTGCTCTTTATTTTTAATCCTCTCTAATTTCCAGGTGACTACAGGCAGCTTTTCTTTAAACATTAGTAATTATATAAAAGAGAAATTCTAAGATTTTATAGCTGAAATTGATATATCAAAGATTTCAAAAGTGAACAAAGCAGAAATATTCTTTCATCCATTCATTATAGGAATCGTTTCACTTTCATGGCTGGCTTGTCTGAAGTATAATGAACATGCTTAGTAACTGGTAGAAAGTTTTGGGAAACATGAGTTTTTTGGGGTTTTTTTTGGCCAGATTAAAATAAATACTGCTCAGTTTTTGTTTTAATATTTGGAATATTGACACTTGGCATTTAAATAACTTAAATTCTTTTTTTAACTTTCATTTTAGATTTGTGGTACAGTAGTAGCTTTGTTATATAGGTAAGCTCATGCCACGAGGGTTTGTTGTACAGATTATTTCATCACCCAGGTGCTAGGCCTAGTACCCAATAGTTATTTTTTCTGCTCCTCTCCCTCCTCCCACTCTCCATCCTCAAGTAGGCCCCAGCGTCTGTTATTCCCCTCTTTGTGTCCATGAGTTCTCATCATTTAGCTCCCACTTATAAGTGAGAACATGTGGTATTTGGTTTTCTGTTCCTGCGTTAATTTGCTAAGGATAATGCTTCCGGCTCCATCCATGTTCCCACAAAAGACGTGATCTCGTTCTCTTTTTATGACTGCATAGTATTCCATGGTGTATATGTACCACATTTTGTTTATCCAATCTGCCACTGATGAGCATTTAGGTTGGTTCCATGTCTTTTTTTTTTATTCCATGTCTTTGCTATTGTGAACAGTGCTGCAATGAATATTCGCGTGCATGTGTCTTTATGGTAGAATAATTTATATTCCTCTGGGAATATACCCAATAATGGGATTGTTGGATTGAATGGCTGTTCTGTTTTTAGCTCTTTAGGAATTGCCACATTGCTTTCCACAATGGCTGAACTAACACCAACAGTGTATAAGTGTTTCTTTTCTCTGCAACCTCGCCAGCATCTGTTATTTTTTTGGCTTTTTAATAACAACCTTTCTGACTGGTATGAGATGGTATTTCATTGTGGTTTTGATCTGCATTTCTCTAATAATCAGTGATGTTGAGCTTTTTTTAATATGCTTGTTGGCCACATGTATGTCTTCTTTTGAGAAGTATCTGTTCATGTCTTTTGCCCACTTTTTAATGGGGTTGTTTTTTTCTTGTAAATTTGTTTACGTTCCTTATAGATGCTGGATATTAGACCGTTGTCAGATTCATGGATTGCAAAAATGTTCTCCCATTCTGTAGGTTTTCTGTTTACTTCATTTACTCTTTGCTGTGCAGAAGCTCTTAAGTTTAATTAGACCCCATTTGTCAATTTTGCTTTTGTTGCAATTGCTTTTGGCATCTTCATCATGAAATCTTTGCCAGTTCCTGTGTCCAGAATCGTATTGCCTAGGTTGTCTTCCAAGGTTTTTATAGTTTTGGGTTTTACATTTAAGTCTTTAATCCATCTCTTTGTGTGTGTGTGTGTGTGCGTGTGTGTTTTGTTTGTTTGTTTTGTTTTGTTTTGAGACAGAGTCTTGCTCTGTCACCCAGGCTGGAGTGCAGTGGCTCACTGCAACCTCCACTTCCCGGGTTCAAGCAATTCTCGTGCCTCAGCCTCCCAAGTAGCTGGGATTACAGGTTTGCACCACCATGCCCAGCTAACTTTTGGCATTTTTAGTAAAGACAGGGTTTCACCATGTTGGCCAGGCTGGTCTCGAACTCCTGGCCTCAAGTGATCCACCCGCCTCAGCCTCCCAAAGTGTTGGGATTACAGGCGTGAGCCACCGCACATGGTCGCTTTAATCCGTCTTGACTTGATTTTTGTATATGGTGTAAAAAGGGAAACGTTTAAATTCTTAAAAATTTAAATTGATAAAAACTGTATAATTTATTGTGTGCAACCTGTTATTTTGAAATATGTATACATTGTGGAATGGCTAAATCAAGCAAATTAACATATGTATTACTTCACATATTTTTTGATGGTAAGAACACTCAAAACCTACTCTCTTAGCAATGTTTAAGAATATAATACATTGGCTGGGAGCAGTGGCTCATGCCTGTAATCCCAGCACTTTGGGAGGCAGAGGTGGGCAGATTACCTGAGGTCAGGAGTTCGAGACCAGCCTGGCCAACATGGTGAAACCCTGTCTCTACTAAAAATACGAAAATTAGCCAGGCATGGTGGCACACGCCTGTAATCCCAGCTACTGGGGGGACTGAGGCAGGAGAATTGCTTGAGCCCAGGAGGTGGAGGTTGCAGTGAGCCGAGATTGTGCCACTGCACTCCAGTCTGGCTGACAGAGTGAGAGACTCTGTCTCAAAACAAACAAACAAAACAAAACAAAAAACAATACATTGTTATTAAGTATGGTCACCATGTTGCACAATGCATCTCTTGAACTTATTCCTCCTATCTAACCGATATTTTGTATCCTTTGACCAACATCTCCCCAGATTCCCACTCCTTCCCAGCCTCTGGTAACCACCAACTACTCTCTGCTTCTATGACTTTGACTTTTTAAGAGTCCACTTATGAGTGAGATTATGCAGTACTTGCCTTTCTGTGCCTGGTTTATTTCACTTAACATAATGTCCTCCAGGATCATCCATGTTGTCAAAAATAAACAGATTTTTTTTAAAAGGCTGAATAGTATAAATATTATTACAACAGAAAAATGCTCCAGGCGCGGTGGCTCACGCCTGTAATCCCAGCACTTTGCGAGGCCAAGGCGGGTGGATTACCTGAGGTCAGGTGTTTGAGACCAACCTGGCCCAACATGGTGAAAACCCCATCTCTACTAAAAATACAAAAAATTAGCCGGGCATGGTGGCAGGTGCCTGTAGTCTCAGCTAGTCAGGAGGCTGAGGCAGGAGAATTGTTTGAACCTGGGAGGTGAAGGGTGCAGTGAGCCAAGGGTGCAGTGAGCCAAGGGTGCAGTGAGCCATTGCACTCCAGCCTGGGTGACAGAGCAAGACTAAGCCTAAAAAAAAAAAAAAAAAAAAAAAACAGAAAAGAAAAGAAAAATGCATGTGCATTGTAGAAAATTTGGACACATTGAAAAGTAGAAAATAAAAATTACTCCTGTATCTCCTTACCCAGATACAATCATTATTAAAAATCTGTAACAAACACCTCCAGATGCCTCAGCAAATTAGGGAAATTCTCATTTCTTCTGTCTCATAAAATTCTACACCTCATTTCCAGACACAAATCTTGTCCAATTTCACTGCCCCTTATCCTAGGAAGCAGGCATAGTCAATCCAAGACACTCTTAAGAACTACTTCTTTACTTTTCTTTTTCCTTTTTTCTTTTTCTCTTCTATTTTTTTTTTTCCAGACAGAAAAAAATGGCTTTGTCACTCAGGCCATAGTGCAGTGGTGTGATCTCAGCTCACTGCAACCTCTACCTTCCAGGTTCAAATGATCCTCCTGCCTAAGCCTCCTGAGTGGTTGGGACTACATGCATGCACCACCACGCCCAGCTAGTTTTTCTATTTTTGGTAGAGATGGGGTTTTGCCATGTTGCCCAGGCTTGCCTCAAACTCCTGGGCTCAGGCAATCTGCCTGTCTCAGCCTTCCAAAGTGCTGGGATTACAGGCATGAGCCACTATCCCCAGCCAAGAATGATTTCTTCTTTATATCCTTTCTGAGTCATATAAAATATGTTTTACTTGGGGAAAGCTATTAAATCATCTAAAATTTTATATTTATTTTCATAGTGAAATTACTCCACTTGTTTTACAAGTGGAAATTTAATTGTTTAATAGTTTCTGAGTTTTTTTCCCCAACATCAGTTTAGCAACCCCTCCTTAGTAAGATGGTAGCCCACCCTACAACAAGCTAATGAAGCACATTAAACCCTGCTTGTCAACTCACATACTGTGCCCAATCAGTTAAAATACTAGAGGGTACTGCAGAATAATTACTAGAACTAAGATTTGATCAGTGTTTCAGGATTTACATTGTGTCCATATGCAGACATTTCACATGCACTTTATTATGTTGTCACCATGGCAACTCTGTGAAACACTAGTTTTATCTCTGTTTTATAAGTGAGGAAACTGAGATTCAAAGACATTAAGTGATTTTCTAAAAATCTCATGTTCAGGAAGTGGAACAGAAAATGGTACCTATTAAAATTTTCTATTACCGATTAGTTTTTGTTCCTAATTTCCTATTCAAATGTTCAGAATTGAAATGCCTTTATTTAAAAATAGAAGATACATACTGGAACTATGTACACTATCTTTTCAATTTTTCTATAAATGTAAAACTAAAATAAAAGGTTTATTTACATGTAAAATAAGATATATAATCTTACAAAATTACATACACTGTGTTAAAATATTTTTTATGTAAATAGTTCCTTCCTAACTCCATTTCTGTCTTTACTGCTTTTAAAATCTTGTGATTAGCCAGGAGTAGTGGCATGTGCCTGTAGTCCTAGCTACTCTCAAGGTTGAGGCAGGAGGATCACTTGAGCCCCGGAGTTCAAGGTCAGCCTGGGCAACAAGCGAGAACCCCATCTCTTAAAAAAAAAAAAATCCTGTGATGTTTGGCAAACACAGACCCCTGGTTAAAGGCTAGACCGCTGCGATCTTCCAGCTGACAGACCATAGCCCACAGAATCGAGAGTCTCTGGGTATGATGAAGCATCTCTTCCAATGTGGCCAAATACATTTCCCCATTAGGTCTCTAACTCTTTCAGCCCCAGAGAAGTGCTGGCTTCCATAAATAAAATTTCACTCCTTTTGGAAGATGAGTGTTCCTAGGGGTGATTGCCCTAGAACACTGGATGTACTTCAGGTCCCAACTCAACAAGCCTGTGCCCCTCACTGGCCAAGAGCCCACAGCATTGCCTCTGAATTTTCTCTAGAGTTTCATCGCAATGACTAGCTGGTCACTCTTCTGGTAGAAGTGGGGACCCCAGGAGAGGACTCCAAGTATCACTTGGCTTTCCTGATGACACTTAATGTCCCCTTTCTTTTAGTGGTAACAAAATCTAACTATTTAACAACCCTTGTTGTTAAAGAGGATCCCATCTTTGCCACCTCTTTTTCATCTTCTGTCTTCTGAGGATGGGTCTGCCAGATGTGTTCTCTGGACTTTTAGGAAATTGAATTTGGAGGAAAGGGAAGAAGATTGAGGACAAGAAGCACTCAGGTTAGTGGTGGTAGAGAAATTTCTCAGAGAAAACCCCTGCTTTTATCTGAGCACATGGCCTCCCAGAATCTCCAGCTTCCTTTGCAGCTAGGTGTGACCATATTAGCCAGATGACTAGGTTTTGGCCAATGGAATGCAAGTCAAAATAATGTGTATAACTTCTGGGTTATGCCTTTAAGATGAAGGGATATGATTCTCTTCTTTCGCTTTTTCTGCCAGCAGGAATATGGGAGTGGGAGTGGGTCATCTTGTTCATGAAGATAAAGGCAGCATCCAACACATCACAGAACAAGAGAGAAGAAACCTAAGCCCTTGACTACCTAGCAAAAGAAAGCCGCCATGTTTTCCCATGAGAGGAATAATCTTCTCACATGTTAAAGCCATGGATACCATTTCTTACATGCTTGAGTGGATTTCCACCCAATGTCATATCTGTCTCAGGCTCTGGGCCCTCTTGGCACCGCCTATCCCACTGTAATTAACTAGGCCAAGTTTAGGATAGTGCAAGGTACAATTTGTTCTACACTTTTTCTCTTGCTCCCCACCCTGTGGTTCTTAGACTATTTTCTCTATGAAAAGCATTACACAATGTTTTTTCCCTCCTTCTGTTCTCTGCTCTAAGCTTTCAGTCAATCAGTCACTCTCTCCCCCTCTCTCTAAGGCTCTTATTAAGCTCACCACCACCTTTGTACTGCTGGCATCTATTAAGGCTGCAATTCTGTGGTTCTGCTGCTCATTCCCAACTGACTTGTTACACAGTCAAATGGGGCAATTTATCCCCTTCAGAAAACTCCATGTCTTCTTCCATAGGAAAAGGACAGGCTCTCTCACATAAAACCACTGGAAAGATTACTTTCTCAAGGAAAACAAACACATTCTCGCTGTGATGTCTCATGACACAGCCACTCTTGGAAGAACTAACTGGATCTCAACAGGACAGATCCAAAGACCGAAACCAGCCCCACCCCATCCCCATAGGAAATCTTCTTATGGGGGATAAAGGGTCACTTGCTCAAGTCAGAGAAAATGGTATCTCCCTAAAGAGCAATCGACAGTCCAGCCAAGCTGTTGGCATGAGAAAGAGGCTGTGAGAATTACAGCAGCATCTTCCCAAGACAGCGGGGCATGGCCATGGGAACGCCAGGAATAAGCTATATTTGGAGAAATTGCCTTGTGTTTGGTATTAGGAGGTTTTGTCAGCAGATACCAGGACTCTGGGCATCAGGCAGAAGTTTAAAGACAGGATTTCAGGCCCTGGAGTAGTGATTCTTGACTGGAGGTTATTTTGTCTCCCCAGTACCTCAATGGCAAAATACCTCAATGGCACAGTAGGGTAAAGACATGGAAATAGGGCTGGGCATGGTGATGCATGCCAGTAATCCCAGCACTTTGGGAGGCCGAGGTGGGAGGATCGCTTGAGCATGGAAGGTTGAGGCTGCAGTAAGCCACATTGGCACCACTGTTTACTCTAGCCTGGGTGACAGAGTGAGATCATACTCAAAAACAACAAAAAAGAGAGATCAGAATGCTTATGACCAGAGGCAACTTGGCCAGGGCCTCCAGCAGCCCCACATCCACTTCTCACCCATCTGACTTGGCCTCTTCAGGGCTGAGTGTTTAAAATCTCTGAGGCCCACTCAGAACACACCAGATAGAAAGCTCTGCTATTGCCTTTTGGCTGGAACCTCCGTCTTCCAGTAATTCGCCAAAATGATGAACACGGGAAAAGAGGAGAGGCACCAGATATATGTTCTCTAGGCCTTTTAGAAAACATGGGGTTTTTCCTTTGGCCACGTATATGTGAATCTATGAGAAAGGTGATATTGTAGACATCAAGAAAATGGATACTGTTCAAAAAGGAATGCCCCACAAATGTTAACCATGGCAAAACTGGGAGAGTCTACAGTGTTCCCCAGCGTGCTGTTGGCATTGTTATAAACAAACAAGCTAAGGGCAAGATTCTTGCCAAGAAAATTAATGTGCATATTGAGCATGTTAAACATTCTAAGATCCCTGATAGTTTCCTGAAACACATGAAGGAAAATGATCAGAAAAAGAAGGAAGCCAAAGAGAAAGCTACCCGGGTTCAGCTGAAGTGCCAGCCTGCTCCACCCAGAGAAACACACTTTGTGAGAACCAGCGGGAAGAAGCCTGAGCTGCTGGAACCTATTCCCTATGAATTCATGGCTTAATAGATGTTTAAAATATCAAAGACCTCTGGACTGTAAAAATGTTTCTCTTCATTGAGTAGAAGTGTGGTGTCATCTCCCACAAAGATACATTTAAAGCAAATTTTAATTGTGTCCTAATTCATTGTGTAATATCTTTACTATTCTAATTTAAAGTTTTTCTTGCTGAAAGATGTGAGGTAGCTTATTGTGCAACAAATTACTCAATTGGTTAGAAAACGGGCAGATGTTATTTATGAACTGTTTGTACTGGTTTGAAGATAGTCCCTCTAAATCATCATGGGGCTGGGCGTAGTGGGTCGCACCTGAAATCCCAGCTCTTTGGGAAGCCCAGGAGGGCGGATCACTTGAGGCCAGGAGTTTGAGACCAGCCTGGCCAGCATGGCAAAGCCCTGTCTCTACTAAAAATATAAAAATTAGCTGGGCGTGGTGGCACATGCGTGTAATCTCAGCTACTGTGAGGCTGAGGCATGAGAATTGCTTGAACCCGAGAGGTGGAAGTTGCAGTGAGCTGAGATCACACCACTGGACTCCAGCCTAGGTGACAGAGCAAAACTCTATCTCAAAAAAAAAAAAAAAAAAAAAAAAAAAAAGAATTTTGGAAGAAATAAAATAATTTATAAAAAAAGACAGCTCTGCTATTATCACTAAATATATTTAATTACTAGCTATAATTTTTCCAACAGAGAAAACACCAGGCCTAGTTAGTTCAAAAGGTAAGCACAACCAAACATTCAAGAGATCAGTGCAATCATATGTGAAGTCTTGCAGAGAATAGAAAAAGAGAGATGAGCATCCAACTCATTATATAAGGCTAGTGTAATTTTGATACTAAAACCAGATAAAGACCTGGAAAAGAAACGTTCAAGCCAGTGTAATTTATTTGAAAATCCTTTTAAAAATTTAGCAAATCAAATCAGCAATGTATAAAGAAGTTAATCTATTGTGACCAAGATAGTTTATTCCTACAATAAAAGCTTAATTTCACATTAGAGTAATTTACCACATTATCAGATTAATGAAAAAATATTATTAGCTCAATAGATACAAAAAACAGCAATTGATTAAATCTAGTCATCAATGATTTTAAAAATTCTTAGTAAATGAAGGCTAAAAGGAAACTATCTAACATGATAAAGGGAAGTTGCAAAAATCTAACAGCACATATCACACTTAATGGTGAGACCTTAAAAAGCATTTTCTTTAAAACTAAGAACACGGTAAAGATGACTGTTCTCACCACTTCTGTAACATTGTACTAGGTGATCTAGCTTGCCCTTAAAATGGGAAAGAGGAATAAAAGGTATGAGGACCTGAAAGAAACAAACTATTCCTACTTGTGAATATCTTGCTAGGAAACTCAAAAACTCCATCAAAAAGCCATTAGACTTCATAGGAGCTTAGCAAGTCTGCCTTAAGTAAGGTCAATATACAAAATACAATTACACATGTATACTTCAGCAACAAATATTTAGAACACACAATTAAAGATGCCAATTACAACGGCAATTAAAAAAAAGACACCTTTGGAGTAAATCTAACAAAAATGTGAAGGCTTTTACAGAAAAAAATAATAAAAACTTCAGTAAAAGACAAAAAGAAGATACAAATAGTATTTCCCTAAAATAAGCTGTAGATTTAATGACTTTCTATTCACAGAACTTGACAAGCTGACCCTAAAATTTATATATTTTATATAGCAAAGCAAAGGGCCAAAGATAGCCAAAATAATCCTGAAGAAGAACAAGTGTCAGTAATTACACTACTACCAGGTATTAAGAATTGATATAAAATCATCATAATTAAGACTGTGATATAAGTTCAGAGATAGATCCATGGACCAAAACAGAATCTAGAATAAGACTTGTGAATAGATGAATAAACAGAAACCTCACCTATGACAAAACTGGCATTGCACATTAGGGGGAGGGAGGACTATTTAATAAAAATTAATTGATTAGCCATATAAGGGAAAAGCTAAACTGACTCCAACTTTACACTATACACAAAAGTCAATTTTAGATGGATAGATGACTTAAAGGGAAAATTTTTTAACTTTAGAAGAAAATGTAGAATATCATCTTTTTAACCTTGAGGGAAGGAAGGATTTCTTAATGCAAAACTGGAAACATAAATTCAATTACATTAAAATAAACAGGTCATGCACTGTGACTCCCACCTGCAATCCCAGCACTTTGGGAGGCTAAGGCAGGAGGATCACTTGAGCCCAGGAGTTTGAGACCAGCCTGGGCAACATAGTGCGACCCCCTCTCTAAAAAAAAATTACAAAAATTAGCTGGGTATGGTGGCACACACCTGTTGTCAAAGCTACTTGGGAGGCTGAGGCAGGAGAATCACTTGAGCCCAGGAGCTCAAGGCTGCAGTGAGCCGTGATTATGCCACTGGACTCCAGCCCGGGTGACAGAGTGAGACCCTGTCTTAAAAAATAAACTATGGCTTCTCCAAAGACATCAAGATACCAAGAGAGTGAAAACATAAGCTAAAAACTAGAGGAAGATACTCACCACACATATAATGGCCTTGGGGTTAGAACTGAGACTATATGAGCTCCTTTGAATCAATAAAAAAAATTTAATAGAAAAATAGAAAAACAACATGAATAGCATTTCACAGAAGAACAATTCTATGTGGTACACATTTGAAAATATGCTCAACCTCATTAACCATTTTATACCCTACAGCTTGGCAAAAATTAAAAAGACTGACAATAGCAAGTGTTGGTGAGAACTCATAATAATGGCAACTCTTATAGTCTGCTAGATAGTAATCTGGAACTATCTAGCAAGGTTAAACATGTGTATTACCCCTACCACTCAGCAATTTATCTCCTAGTTTGGTAAGCGGACTTCTAAGTTGGTCTGCAGGCATCTGCACCTTCTAGTATTCATGCCCACATGTAACTCCCTCCCTTAAATATGAGCTGCACCTAATGACTTGTGTCTAATGAGTAGAATACAGCAAAAGTGATAAGATGGCACTTCTGAGATTAGGTTTCAGAAGACTGCCTTCTCCTAACTCTCTCTCTCTCTGTTCTTCCTGATAACTTTAGAGAAGCACATTGTTGAAGCAAACTGCCCTCTGGAGAGACTGTCATGGCAAGGAATTGAGCATCCTCACCAATGAGGAAAGGAAGCCTGCAGCTCAATAGCCAAGGAGGAACTGGCCTTGCCAGCATTCATGTGAGTGAGCTTGGAAGTGGATTCTTCAACAGAGGATGATAGCAGCACCTGCTGCTCATAGCAGCCTTGTGAGAGCCCCAGAAGACCCAGCCAAGCCATGTCCAGATTCTTCACCCACAGAAACTGTAAGATAATGAATGTATATTGTTTTAATCTGCTGAATTTTGGGGTAATTGCTTATGCTGCAATAGATAATTGATAAGGTTTGGCTGTGTCCCCAACCAAAATCTCATCTCGAATTGTAATCTGAATTGTAATCCTCATGTGTTGGGGGTGGGACCTGGTAGGAGGTGATTAGATTATTGGGATGGCTCACCATGCTGTTCTAATGATAGTGAGTTTTCAAGAGATCTGATGGTTTTATGAGGGGCTTTTCTCCCCTTCTCTCCACACTTCTCTCTCCTGCCACCATGTGAAGAAGGATGTGTTTGCTTTCCCTTCTGCCATGATGATAAGTTTCCTGAGGCCTCACCAGCCATAAGGAGTTGTGAGTCAATTAAATCTTTTTTCGTTTATAAATTACCCAATCTTGGGCAGTTCTTCATAGCAGCATAAGAATGGACTAATACAATAATTAACACACCTGAGTATAAATCCTAGCACAGACCTTCCCAGCAGATGAGCCAAGGCATACTGGTATGCAAAATATGGATTACAGGTGAACCCAAGATATTGATCCTTTAACTACTGGGGATGCCAAGGGCAGGTGGGTCAGGTTGGGCCTGGGATTACTAGAGTTTAAGGGCAGGTTATCCCCAGTAGAGGAAGCATTCTAAAGCATACAATAATTTGGATTTACAATGGAAAGATAGTTTTTAAAGACTGAAAATAGGAGAGAGAATAGAAGAATAAGGTCTAAATAATCTTTAAGTCTTCGGAAAATCTAAGTAACCAATTCTTCTTTGCTGGAAAGAAATGAAATCTATGATATTTAGAAATCCCATTAAAATAAAGTTATAAAATCTCTCACATTTAGCCTTTGGGTAATTCATTTTGTTAAGTGGATGTGCAGAAAGGAGGCAGTTTCCCTTAAATGGAACCACTTAGGGGTCTAATTGGAGGTCCGATCCCTTTTTGCAGAAGATGTTTTTTTATCTGCTGAATACAGTTAACTCTCCTGCATGTCCTCTCCCTGGTTTATTTGCTTACTCTGGGAAATGAAAGGATGGCGTGGTTTGTGAACCAGGAGTTGTTATTCTTTGCCTGCATATCATGTTGGCTTTTTTTTGGTAAGAAAAATCACAAGAATATATGAAGTTTTTTTATGAATAGAACCCTTTATTTTTAGGAGAAAATGGATGGAACAGTTTGGGGCTTTGGGGCCGCCTGTTGCTCTTGTGTGAGCACCTCCCACTGCCTTGACTTTACTCTGCTGCATACTCGGTGCCAGGATTTACATGACCTCGGTGGGGAACAACTGGATTTAGCATAAGTAAGAATAACTGCTTTTCCCCTGGGGAGAGACAAAAAGGATAAGTGCATAAGGCACAGAGACAATATTATCGGGAGTTATATTCCTGTTCGGCTCTTTTATTCACTCTGAATTCTGGATTCTGTTGCAAATAATGAAAGCAAGAAGCTAGCTGGCTTGGAGCCAAGGTCTGGGATTAGCAAAGACTATTTTATTTGGGGCTAAAAAATATGTGTTCATTAGTGATGTTCTATACGTTGCACATATGGCCATCGGATTAAAAATCATTGTTTGTTTTTTTTTTTTTTTTGGTAAATTGATATTGCCAAGAAAGCACAGTTAATAATTTGAACTAGGCAGGGAAAGGTGAGTTTCTGCCACTGTGTCTACCCAGGATGAACGCAGAAGGTGTCTGTGCACACCTGTTCCTGCTTTGCCACACATTCTCAGGTTGCCCCATATTCTCTGGGCTTGGGTTGGACAGCTATCATCCCCATAATAACCTGCATCCTTTTCTCTCCCTTACTTCCAACCGTGAGGTAACTTTGACACGAACACCCTAAAATCTAATGTCAGTTTTTCCTTTTTACTCTCACCTTAAATATCCTGTTTTTCTTTTCTCATAAAACCATTGAACGAGTTGCAAGACCCCATTTTGAACTCAGCCAGACCCTGGTTGGAATCCCAGCTTCCCTGCATGCTACTGTCTCCAGGATCCTAGGGGAAATTATTTAATTTTCCTTCACTTCAATTTCCTCATTGATAAAGTGAAGAATAATCATATACATCTCATTGGGTTTTGTGAAGATTAATGAAACAAGAATAAAGAGTATTATATTGCATTGTACCTAGTAATAAAATTTTATCTTGATCATTAATACAGGGTAAAGTGGTAGTCAGAGGGAAATTTATAATTTAAATACTGATATTAAAAATAAGAAAGCCCTTAAAACCAAAATAAATCTTCCACTTGGAAAGTGTAGAAAAAAACAGTGTTTATATTATAAAAATGATGACTTCCATTTTTGGTTGTTTGAAAGACTAGATGTCCGGAAAAAGTCTTCTGGTATGGAACTAAAATTCTGGATAAAATATATTTTTAAACTTTCTAGAAAATACTTGTCTGAACTCTTGGGGGGAAAAAAGGAAGATCCTTGCCATAGATAATAAGAAGGTAAAAATCCAGGCCAGGCTCGGTGGCTCACGCTTGTAATCCCAGCACTTTGGGAGGCCGAGGTGGGCAGATCACGAGGTCAAGAGATCAAGACTATCCTGGCCAACATGGCGAAACCCCGTCTCTACTAAAAATACAAAAAATTAGCTGGGCGTGGTGCCACACGCCTGTAGTCCCAGCTACTTGGGAGGCTGAGGCAGGAGGATTGCTTGAACCTGGGAGGTGGAGGTTGCAGTAAGCCGAGATTGTGCCACTGCACTCCAGCCTGGGCGACAGAGCGAGACTCCATCTCAAAACAAACAAACAAAAAAGAAAGTAAAAATCCAGAGACTTAACCTCTCTAAAGCTGGTGTTTGCCATGACAGCCTATCTGACTGTCTTCGGTGGCACCTGCGGGGGAGGATAGACAAAAACACGAGGCCTGTGAAAGCCAAGAGGATGGACTAGAAAACATCACGTGAAGCCAGAATCCCAGAAATATTACTCTAGGTATGTTCAAAAGGGTTGAACAGAAGTGTGGGGGGTGCCCGAGAGACAGAGATGTAGAAAAACTTACCAATCATCTCTAGACCGAAATGAAAATTATAAATGGGAAAGAATACTTGGAGAATGCTAACCACAAGTTTGTTATCACAAGTGTTTAAGCCAGAATTTACACCATCTGTATTACCTACCCACCAATAAATCTAAGTCAAATATGTCGTTAAAAGAGCATCCAAATATTTAGCTAATAGGAACAGAACAATAGGATAAACCTAAAGAAAGTGGAAGGATGGGAATCATAAGGGAAAAAAATAATGAACTAGAAAATGAAGAAACAGTAAAGCACATCTTTTGAAAAGACTCATGGAAGTGATGACCCAGACAGAAAGGCTGTGCCCAATCCCCAGTGTTGCAGTTGGGGAGAGCACAGGTTTCATAGAAAAGTGCTGCATTGCCAGGCACGGTGGCTCACGCTTGTGATCCCAGCACTTTGGGAGGCTGAGGCGGGTGGATCACCTGAGGTCAGGAGTACAGGACCAGCCTGGCCAACATGGTAAAATCCCATCTCTACTAAATAATACAAAAATTAGCCAGGCGTGGTGGTGGGTGCCTGTAATCCCAGCTACTTGGGAGGCTGAGGCAGGGAGAATTGCTTGAACCCGGGAGGCGGAGCTTGCAGTGAGCCGAGATCATGCCACTGCAGTCCAGCCTTAGTGACAGAGCGAGATTCTGTCTCAAAAAAAAAAAAAAAAAAAAGAAAGAAAGAAAGAAAGTGCTGCATCCAATTGGATAAAGAAAATGTGGTCCATATATACCATGGAATACTACACAGCCATAAAAAATGTCTTTTGCAGGAACATGGATGGAGCTGGAGGCTATTATTCTTAGCAAACTAACACAGGAACAGAAAACCAAAAACCACATGTTCTCACTTATAAGTGGGAGTTGAATGATGAGAACACGTGGACACAAGGAAGGGAACAACAGACAGTGGGGTCTACTTGGGGGTGGAGGATGGGAGGAGGAAAACGGCAGAGAAAATAACACTTGAGCTGGGAGCAGTGGCTCATGCCTGTAATCTCAGCTCTATGGTAGGCCAAGCGGGCGGATCACAAGGTTGGGAGTTCGAGAGCAGCCTGACCAACATGGCGAAACCCCATCTCTACTAAAAATACAAAAATTAGCCAGGCATGGTGGCACGTGCCTGTAATCCCATCTACTCAGGAGGCTGAGGCAGGAGAATCGCTTGAACCCAGGAGTTGGAGGTTGCAGTGAGCCAAGATCACTCCAATGCACTCCAGCCGGGCGACGGAGCAAGACTCCATCAAAAAAAAAAAAAAAAAAAAAAAAAAAAAGAAAGAAAGAAAATGACACTTGAGTACTAGGCTTGATACCTGGGAGATGAAATGATCCGTACAACAAACCCCCATGATGTGAGTCTAGCTATATAACAAACCTGTACATGTACCCCTGAATCTAATATAAAAGTTAAAAATTTAAAATATATATATTTTAAGTGCCACCTTCAACAGTTCCTGAACAGACTGTGGTGGCTGAGGGACAGGTCCAGGCAGATTCTAGATTTTCCATAAAATGGGAAATCCTCTCAAAAGCCAGTGAATGCCAGCATGGTCCAGGGAACAAAACCAAGAGCCCTTGACCCTCCAAGAGAAAGTGGAGGTGACTATTTAGGCCACAGAAGGAGGAAGAGGCAGAGTATGGGACCAGCCTCAGAGCTGTTGGGGTCAGAGCCATCAGCCAGGCATGTGGTAGAAAGATCATTTAGGACCATGTGGGTCCCTTGGGGAGGGTGAGCAAAGCTCAGACCAGAGCTCCTCCTAATGCCAGCACTCCATGGACACTCCCATTGTGTTCCACCTGGGAATTCATATCTCTCCAGGGAGAAAGGAAGGAGAAGAAGGAAGGGAGAATTTCATAGTTGATGTTTACTTACCCAGAAGAGACTGAGTCTAAACTAAATGCTACAGTTTGAATTAGAAAAACATTTTTGCATATCTGAGTCCTAAGACTCTGAAATTCATGCTAGCTATAAAAGAATAAATGTGCAAAGAGGACTTGAAAAATCTAAATAACTAGACCTTGGAAAAATCAGAATGGAGAGTCAGGTTGAGTCACAGGAGCTTTCTGCTGGCGTTTAGCCATTAATGTGATTCAGCTTCTTGCTCTTTATGCCTTTGCTCCCTTCTCTCTCCTCTTCCAGGCAGATAATTCCTTCTGTATTTGCAAATCAGTTTCCCTAGAGAAAAAAGTACATTGGCTCAGCTCACCAGTTCACACCAAGTCTCACCATAGTGAGTTAGCCCAAGGGCTTCCTTTGGGTGAGTCTTGCTTCCATTACATCTTCCCAGTCTCCCCATACTCCCCCACCACCTCCTCACAGGCACGTGTATGTGTGCAAAGACCAGCTCAGGTTGAGTGAGGCAAGCTTGAGGAGTGATATTCCTGGTGTCTACAGTTAAAATATGGGAGAAAAATATACAGGCCACTATGATCTCGATTTTCCTGCCCAAGAATATGAGCCTAAATGAGGTAAAGTGTGAGTGCCTCATACAAAGGCTGGCTGTGTACTAAGCCCTGTGTTAGCTGTTATAAGAGCCAAGGGAAAACTTCCCCGTGGCCCCTAAAGGTTTGCAAAAATCAACTGACAAAAGGCAGAGTAATAGGAGAAAAGGCATATGAATGTATTTGACCATAGTTTTACATGACACAGGAGCCTTCGGAATGAAGACCCAAAGATACGGATGAAACTGTCTACTTTCATGCTTAGGTTCACCAAAATGTGGACGGAAAGGCTATGAGCTATAATAGACTGAGTGGGGAAACCCAAGAAGGCCTGTCTATTATTTATTTATTATTTATTTATGTTTAATTTATTATTATTATTTTTTGAGATGGGGTCTCACTCTGTCACCCAGGCTGGAGTGCAGTGGTGTGATCTCCACTCACTGCAACCTCTGCCTCCTGGGTTCAAGTGAGTCTCCTGTCTCAGCCTCCCAAGGAGCTGGGATTATAGGTGCGCACCACCACACCCAGCTAATTTTTGTATTTTTAGTAGAGATGGGTTTCATCAGGTCTCAAACTCCCAACCTCAGGTGATCCGTCCACCTTGGCCTCCCAAAATGTTGGGATTACGGGTGTGAGCCAACACACCTGGCCTCTATTTAGGTTCTTCTTGGCCTCTGTGCAGCCTTCCTTCCTCTTGGGTATGGGGCTGGACCCTCTCTGGAATGGGGAGATCTTATGACCTACAATCAGACAAACTAGGTCAAATTGCTTCTTTATGGCCAGTTTTTACACAGAAAGGTGATGTGGGTGGAGGAGTGGAGTTAGAATAATATGTTTAGGTTTTATGGCTGGCTTTAGGGGAAATGGATTTTGGTTTCTGAGATGCACCTTGCCAAAGAGTTTCTTCAGTAGCTAGCCTTGGGGGAGAATGAGAGGCCAGTGACAGGAGGCGAG
Organism: Homo sapiens; assembly: GCF_000001405.40. Lineage (NCBI taxonomy): Eukaryota > Metazoa > Chordata > Mammalia > Primates > Hominidae > Homo > Homo sapiens. Next base: position 27,493 of record NW_025791761.1, read on the forward strand.
AAGAAGGTCAGAGAGAGCTGCTTCTGAGGTCTTCATTTTGGGTTATCATTTTCTGAGATCTTACACTGTCATTATCAACAACATTAGATTAGAGCAAAACCTTGGGCTACCTTTTTTTTTGTAAGTCCCTTTTCAACTCTCCTTTTTATTTTTTTTTAAACCATCCTCAGAAATCCTCTAGTCATTTCCTATAATTATTCTATACATATAAATCCTACCTCTCTAACAAGGCCAGATAATTTTTTTAGGAGTTTTCCCTATTTTTTCTTTTGGATCATCCACAGACTCCAGGGGAGTGTTATGCACAGATCAAGTGCTCAAATGATAAAATACTTTATTATACATTGGCTTCATGAGACATTTATCAAATTGTTCTGAAAATTTATTGAATTGAATTTATTCAGTTGAATTAAAACTTCCTATTAACAAGATAGTAATTATTTGAAAGACACATACATTTTACTAATGAGCACCTAAAGAGTGGCCAGATGCTGTGCATGCCATCTCCCAAACATGCCAGCCTGTTCCCTGGTCCGCACCTGTCTGTCTTAACCATTTACTTCTATGCTTCAAACATTCTCACATGGAGACTAAAAAAGATATAACAGCAAAAAAATCAGGCCTAGTTTATGATTCTAAAAATAAACTTAGCTGGGCATGGTGGCACACCTGTAGTCCCAGCTACTTGGGAGGCTGAGGTGAGAAGATCGCTTGAGGCCAGGAGTTTGAGGCCAGCCTGGGCAACATAGACCCTGTCTGAAAAAAAATAAAAATAAACTTAAAACCAGTAATTTTTAAAACATTTCTTATGGAAAATGTCAAACATAAACATAAGATAGAGGGAACAATTTAATGGAGTCTCAAACTTCAAGAGTTATCAACATTATGGCAAATCTTATACCCTAGTCAACTGTTTTTCCATGCTGTATTACTTTAAAGAAAAATCTAGACTATTCCTCCTGTAACCTTTCAGAATGTATCTCTAAAAGATAAGGACTCTTTTATTAAACATAACCATAATATCACTAAAAAATAACAATGTTTCCTTAAGACCATAAAATATCCAAGGTTCAAATTTCCCAAATTGCCTCCCTAATGCTTTTCAGAGTTTTACAATTAAGATCCAAATTAGGTCACGCTTTGCATTTGATGATGTTTTTCTTCAATCTCTTTCAATTGAAGTTCTTTCCTCTCTCCTTTTTCCCCTTTGTAATTTATTTCTTGAAAGAACTGGGTCATTTGTCCCATAAAGTTTCCCACATCCTAGATCTGCTGATAGAATCCTTACACTGTGTGAATTATGTTCTTTAGTCCCCTGTACTTCCTATAAACGGGTAGATTTTCAGCCCTGTGCAATAGAACTTTTTGTGATGATGGAAATGTTCTATATCTACACATGTGGCTATTATGCTAGTGTAACCGAGGGATTGAATTATTTTTATTTTATTTTAATTAATTTAAAGTTGACCACAAGCAGCTAGTGCCCACCATAATGGACAGCACATAGAGGTTAACTGAAATGGAAATAGACACGTGGCTAGTGTCTACTGTATTGGATTCAGGTTTGATTATTTATCAACAGTATGTCATACATGGTGAACTTCCACTAGGGGGCTCACAATGCCTGGTTGTCTGTAATGTTAGCAGCCCATTGGTGATCATTGTCTGTACCCGTACGTGAGAGCAGTTGCAAAATGATAAGACTCGATTTCTATCATTCCTTCTTTATTTATTAGCTGAAATCTATCAAGAAAACAATGACTCATCAATAGTTTGATTGCTCTGAGGTATAATTTATACAAGAAAGACAGAATAAATAGATGTTTAACTTTTTGAGGAGCTGCAAGACTGTTTCCCAAAGCAGCTCCACCCTTTAACATTCCCACCAGAATGTATAAGGGTTCCAATTTCTCCACATTCTTACCAATACTTGTTATTGTCCCTCTTTTTTATCATAGCCATCCTAGTGAGTGTGACGTGTATCCCATCGTGGTTTTGTTTGCATTTTCCTAATAACTAATGATGGTGAGCATCTGCTCATGCTTATTGGCCATTGGTATATGTCTATGGGAGAAATTTCTATTCAGATCCTTCGCCTACTTTTAAATGAGTTATTTATCTTTTTATTATTGAATTGTGTTATTTATATACCCTGGAGACAAGTCCTTTATCAGATATATGATTTGCAAATATTTTCTCACCTTCTGTGGGTTGTCTTTCACTTTTTGTCCGTCCCAGCATTTGCACTAAGACCCTTGCTGCCCGTCGCGCCTCCCAGCCGATAACTGAGCAGGGAGGGGATAATAAGGCAGGCTCATTCCTGGAGATGTGGGACTTCTCTTATGGCTGAAGGTTTTTGCCAAACCTTCCTTACACTGCTCAGTGGTCCAGGATGCTTCATCCAACCTTCCCTCCTTTTCTTCTTTGAGATCGGACTTGCATTGCCATCTGACGGCTCTCAGCCTTCTCCTCCTGCCCATGTCTCTCACAGCAGAATTTTTCTTAATAAAATCTTTGCACATTTAATTCCATCTTGGTGTCTGCTTCTCAGAGGACCTGGACTAACACATCAGGCAATGGCAATGCCTACCCTAAAGAACGACTTTTACAGTTCAAGGCCAAAGTCCTTCTGTATTGGATAGCAGCAGCAACCCAAAGCAAGAACAAAGGTAGAGATCTGGACTCTCTAGTTGACCACAGGGTTTCTACCCAGCGAGAAGGATGATGATTTTTTGAGCTGGATAAATCACACCTGGATTTGAATATCAGCTCTGCCACTTAGGAATTTGGTGGCTTTGACAAGTTATTTAGCCTCCCTGTGCCTTAGTTTCTTCATCTGCAAAATGTCAACAATACCAATGCTGTCTCTCTGCATTTTTTAAGATTGAATAAAATAATGTAAAAAGTAACTAGTACAGAGTACAGAGCAGGAGCTCACCAAATGTTGGTTTCCTTTCCACACCCTTCAATCAGGCAGTATCATGCTCAGTTAACTGTTCAAAGGCAAGTCATAACTTGGCTGGATATGGGCTGCACACACTTTGTAGGAGTAAGCTAAGTGGTGAGCATAGAGTTTTCCCTTGCCTTTCCCTGATCTACTCTGGCCAGCTATTGCCCTCTTAGCTTCCTGGGTACTCAAGAGATGAGCTTTCCTGATGGGTTCCATAGAGATACCCAAGAAAAACACTGCTCTGAAGGAAAAAGATAAGGTTAGGCTAGAACCCCTAAAGCACAATGCGGTCCCAAGAGAAACAAGCTCTGTTATGTTTTCTGACAGTGACACAGGTGCCTATGGAGGAGGTGGCCCAGGAAAGGGACGGAGGAAGGAAGAAAAGAAATTCTGGAGAATCTGACAGAGGCAATTCAAGTTTCTGAAAAAGTTCTTTCTAGTGGTTTGTGAGCATGTTAGCAATAAGGCAGCACACATGGATGTCCATGTCCTAAATAAGTAATCTTTCCCCTTTGTTTCCTCTAGCCAAGATTGATGTGGGCTGGGCACGGATTACATGCATGTAATCCCAGCACTTTGGGAGGCCAAGGTAGGTGGATCCCTTGAGCCCAGGAGTTTGAGACCAGCCTTGGCAACTTAGGCTCTTGCAAAACCCCATCTCTACTAAAAAAAAAAAATAGCCGGGCATAGCAGCACGTGCCTGTAATCCCAGCTTCTCAGGAGGCTGAGGTGGGAGGATTGCTTGTGCCTGGGAGGCAGAGGTTGCCGTGAGCCATGATCGCACCATTGCATGCCAGCCTGGGCAACAGAGCCAGACCCTGTTTTGTTTTTTGTTTTTGTTTTTTTTTAATTGATTTAAAGAATGTTAAAGCACGTGATTGAATATGGAAATATCAGGAAAGATGTTTACCAAAATACCTTTGTGGCTGTCTTTGGATGGTGGGATTTCAGGTTTTTGATCTTTATAATTTTCTGTATTTGCTGCCTTCTGTGCTGCCCAAAGCTGCTCTCCCTTCTCCTCACCTCACCTGAATTTTTGTGTTGTTCTGCGATGGCGCCTCTTGGCCTCCAGCTTCCATAACCTTCCCAAGTGCTCTGCCCCAGATATCCCCACTTTTAACCAGCTTTTTTTCTCTTTAAAAATTCTCTGGACAAAGTCTGCTCCTTCTGGCCAGATGTGGTGGCTCACATCTGTAATCCCGGCACTTTGGGAGTCCAAGATGGGAGGATCACTTGAGGCCAGGAGTTCAGGAGCAGCCTGGTCAAGATGGTGAGACCCTATCTCTATTTTAAAAATTAAAAGATACGTCGGCACAGTGGCTCACACCTGTAATCCCAGCACTTTGGGAGGCAGAGGTGGGTGGATCACCTGAGGTCAGGAGTTCAAGACCATCCTGGCCAACATGGTCAAATCCCATCTCTACTAATAATACAAAAATTAGCCAGGCGTGGTGACACGTGCCTGTAATCCCAGTTACTCAGGAGGCTGAAGCAGGAGAATTGCTGGAACCTGGGAGGCGGAGGTTGCAGTGAGCTGAGATCACTCCACTGCACTCCAGCCTGGGCGACTAAGGGAGACTCCATCTCGAAAATAAAAATAAAAGAAAGTCTCCTCCTTCTGTTGTTCTCACACACTTCGCGTTGGCATCTTCCCTTCCACACACATTCTAAACTCCAAAGGGCCTTGATGATGAGGAGGCTCTTTGAAGAAAATCTCTAGTCAGCCCAAGCCTAACCCTATCCCTGCAAAAATCATGTTGTGGTTGGAAGTGTGGATTACTGGTAAATATTGCTGTGTGGAGAAGATTACAAAGTTTTTTTTACCTGTCAGAAAGTAAAAATATAAGCTTAACCCTGTAAGCTTATATTTTAAACTTTAAACTCTATAAACTCCCTGTCAGCTAGAAATGTTCTAGAAAACATTATTTAAAAGCTGGGATACTCCCTAGAGAAAAATTACCTTTACTGCCATGTTAGGCAAAAACATCTGATGAGGCACGGTGTTCTGTGTAAAAACTGAGGTGGTCCCAAACATGGACCAATAGTTAAATCATTTATTTCTTAATATAATACCCTTTGCCTGGTCCACAAAGTAAATTAACTTGTAAATCTAATGAGTACATGAAAATCTCAGCAAGCTCATCTGTGATCCACTCTCCGTCCATCTTCCAGCCAATCCCTCAGCTGCCTGAGGAGGGTCTCAGCCCCGGAACCCTCAGGTCCCTTCTCACCTCTTCTCCTCTAATTGACCTGCCCTCCCCTCTTCCTTCTCCTACTTCCTTCTCATCCTCAGATTTGAGAGGCGGGAGGGGATGGGAGACTGATTATGACTTGTTAGAGGGTGACGGGTCCTGGCCTTTTTCCTTTGTTTGTTCCTGAATCAGGAGACAATGATCTGCTACAAAGGGCAGGGGCCTCTTCATGGATTAGATGAACACGATCATTTCCCATTGTTTTCTTTACCATCTCACTTTCACATGTAACGTACTCATATGCACAACTATTTTTAAATAATAACCATTTGCTTATTGACTTTGTAAATAATACCTGCTTGTTGAAATAAAATAAAGCCAAGTACAGAAAATTATAAAGACAAAAAACACCTGAAATCCCGTCATCCAGAGACAGCCACATTCATATTTTGGCAGCCATCTTTCCTGATTTTTTTTTTTTTTTTTGAGACGGGGTCTTTCCTGATATTTCTATATACAATCCATGTGCTTTAACATTCTTCAAATCAACCTTGGCTAGAAAAAACAAAGGGTAGGGGTTACTGATTTAGGACACATATGTCCATGTGTCTTGCCTTATTGCTAACAAGCCACTTAGAAAGAACTTTTCCAGAAATTCGAATTGCCCCTTTTAGATTCCCCATAATTTATTTTGTTCCTCTTTTCCCCTCTTTCCTGAGCCACCTCCTCCAGAGGCACCTGGGTCACTGTCGGAAAACATATCAGAGCTGGTTTCTTTCTCTTGTTTCTTTCACGTTGTGCTTCAGGGACTCCAAGGCCACCTTCTCTTTTTCCTTTAGAGCAGTATTTTTGTTTTTATGCCAAGACGTTTTCCAACTTAGAGGTCATTTGTGGGAAGCTTAAAGGGAAAAAGCGTCAGTTTCGTGTTTATGTAAGAATTTGAACACCTGATATTTTTCTTGGGAGCCTTTAGCATATTGTGGAACTTGTGGATACCTGTGATATGCAAGAGGAGAACTTCTCTGCATCTTCACCTCTATAAATATGTAAAATAAATATTTGAAAGCCAGGAAGTGACTTTGACTTAATTGTCTTCCCCTATTTTTTTTTTTTTTTTTGAGACAGAGTCTTGCTCTGTCGCCCAGGCTGGAGTGCAGTGGCGCAATCTCGGTTCACTGCAAGCTCCGCCTCCCGGGTTCACGCCATTCTCCTGCCTCAGCCTCCCGAGTAGCTGAGATTACAGGCACCTGCCACCACACCTGGCTAATTTTTTGTATTTTTAGTAGAGACAGGATTTCACTGTGTTAGCCAGGGTGGTCTCGATCTCCTGACCTCGTGATCCACCCACCTCGGCCTCCCAAAGTGCTGGGATTATAGGCATGAGCCACCGCACCCGGCCTGTCTTCCCCTAGTTTTAAATTATGAAAAACAAAATCATTACAAATATCAATGGTTCTTAAATGTTAGGATAAGTGATATTCATGAGAGGATGGCTTATTTTGTTTTTCTTTGTTTGTTTTTTTTTTTTTTTTTTAGACAGTCTCATTCTGTCGCCCAGGCTGGAGTGCAGTGACATGATCTCAACTCACTGCAATCTCCACCTCCCAGGTTCAAGGGATTCTCCTGCCTCAGCCTCCTGAGTAGCCAGGACTACAGGTTTGTGCCACCACGCCTGGCTAATTCTTGTATTTTTAGTAGAGATGGAGTTTCACTATGTTGTCCAGGCTGGTCTCCAACTCCTGACCTCAGGTGATCTGCCCGCCTCAGCCTCCCAAAGTGCTGGGATTACAGTCATGAGCCACTGTACCCAGCCAGAGGGGGTTACTCAATAAGCACATTCTTAGACCTGAACCCTAGAAACCCAATCAAGTAGTCTGGGGTGGGCCCCAGAATCTGCATCTTTAACAAGCACACCAGAGAATTTTGAGGAAGTGGCCGTCTTTTGTGGCCTTGAATTATGCCCCCTAGTAAGATATGCTGAAGTCCTAAGCCCCGGTACCACTGAATGAGACCTTATTTGGAAAAAGGGTCTTTGCAGATGTAATCTAGTTAAAATGAGGTTATATTGGATTAGGGTGGGCTCTAAATTAAATGACTGGTATAGATATAAAAAGAAAGAGATTTGAAGACAAAGGCACATATAAAAAGGCCATGTGAAGATGTACTTATAGATTGGAGTTATGCTGCCACAAGCCAAGGAACACCAAAGACTGCCAGCAACCTCCAGGTGCTAACAGAGGCAAGGAGGGATTCTTCTCTAGAACCTTCAGAGGGAGCCTGTCCCACCTGACACCTTGATTTCAGACTTCCAGCTTCTAGAACTTTGAGAGAATAAATTTCTGTTATTTTATTATTTTATTTTATTTATTTTTGAGATGGAGTCTTACTCTGTTGCCCAGGCTAGAGTGCAGTGGCATGATCTCAGCTCACTGCAACCTTTGCCTCCTGGGTTCAAGCGATTCTCCTGCCTCAACCTCCCAAGTAGCTGGGATTACAGGCATGCGCCACCAAGCCCGGCTAATTTTTATATTTTTAGTAGAGACGGGGTTTCACCATGCTGGCCAGGCCAGTCTTGAACTCCTGATCTCAGGTGATCCACCTGCCTCAGCCTCCCAAAGTATTGGGATTACAGGCATGAGCCACCGTGCCTGGCCAAATTTCTGTTACTTTAAACTATGCTAGTTTGTTATGGCAGCCCTAGGGGACTAATACGCCCTCAGTCCTCACTTTCAGAAACACTGCTATCCATAGCAAAAACATGTAAAATGTATTTCAATAGAATGTGCTTTGATGGTTGATACTGAGATGGGAGAGTTCCTGTCTCCCCTCCATAGGACTTGTGACAGGGGTGTGGCTTGTTTCCTTGGCTGCTCAAACCCCTTGCAGAAATGGGAGCACACAGGTGAGAGGGTGCAGGAGCTGGGGCAAGTGCCTTGGGCACCGGCAGGAACAAACCCTGTACCGGCCTGTGGCAGTGTCTAGGGGTTGCCCGTGACCTGTGGAGCCCCAGAGGGCATGTGTTACAAACAATGCTCTTTTAACTTTTGCCATCTGTGGACAGCTTAAGTGTTAAAGAGCTCAGTGAAGAGTCAGTGTGACGGCCTTTTTGGGTTCCTGCACCCAGTTCATCCCGAATTCTTGTCTGGTGTCCAGGAAGAATCAGGTCACCCAGATTGAAGGGTGGTGTATGCGGAGGATTTTATTGAGTGATGGAAGTGGATCTCAGTTGGATGGGAGCTGGAAAGTGGATGGAGAGGGAAGATAATCTTCCCCTGAAGTTTGGCCGTCTCCAGCCGAACCCCTCTCCAACCGTCCCTGGCCAAACTCCTCTCTGACCGTAGTCTCTGGTGTTCAACTGCTTCTTCTCTTGACATTCAGATGCTTCTTCTCTTCTCTCCTTCTATGCTGCTCTGCTTCTCTGCCAGTGGAGCTCAGAGTTTTTATGGCTACAGGGTAGGGGGTGTGGTGGGCCACAGTGGTTTTGGAAAAGGCAACATTTGGGCAGGAAAACAGGAATGCATGGTTTCATTTAGGGCTGTGGGTCCAGGTTTGAGGGTGAAACCCTTGCCAGGGACCCTGCTCTCTTCTACTCAGTATTTCCCTGCCTCCTGTCTGTATCAAAACTATGGTATTTTCTTTTCTTTTTTTTTTTCTGTTTTTGGGAGAATCTCTCTCTGTCATCCAGGCTGGAGTGCAGTGGTGCAATCTTGGTTTACTGCAACCTCTGCCTCCCAGGTTCAAGCAATTCTCCTGCCTCAGCTTCCCCAGTGGGATTACAGGCGTGAACACTATGTCTGGCTAATTTTTTGTATTTTCAGTAGAGACAGGGTCTTACCATGATGGCCAGGCTGGTCTCAAACTCCTGACCTCAAGTGATCTGCCTGCCTTGGCCTCCCAAAGTGCTGGGATTACAGGTGTGAGCCACCATGCCTGGCCAATATTATGGTATGTTCAATTAACTGGGACCCAGGACCTTACCTATGGGGGCCTTAGTCTTCATGACAAACACCTGATTATGGTTAATGATCTAGAAAGGCCCATTCCTGTTCTAAAACATTTGAAAGTAATTGTATTAGTTTTCCCATTGTTGCTGTACCAGATCACTGCAAATTTAGTGATTTGAAACAATCCAAATTTATTTTCTTACAGTTTTGGAAGGAGTCCAAAATGAGTCTCTCTTGGCCAAAATCTAAGTGCTCGTAGGGCTGTGTTCCCTCTGGAGGCTGTAAAGGAAAATCTCTTTTCTGGCCTTTTTCAGGTTCTGGAGCCCACCAGCATTCCTTGGCTTGGGGTCTCCTTCCATCTTTAAAGCCAGATTGATGGCTTTAAATGGCTGTTTGAGTCTTTCTCATATCACATTCCTCTGACACTGACTCTTCTGCCTCCTTCTCCCACATATAAAGACCCTATGACTACATTGGGCTTACCTGGATAATCCAGGGTACTGTCTCTATGTCAAGGTCAGCTGATTAGCAACCTTAATTCCATTTGCAATTTTACTTCTTTTTTCTATAATCTGGGGATAGGGGCATAGGCCATATTCTATCTACCATAGTAACCAATTTTTGCACTCATTCAAAATTGTCATTTTCCACTTTAAAAAAAATCTTTACAGTAATTATTCTCCAGGAGAGGTAGAACAATGGTATAATTACCATTTCTGTTTTCCAAGTGAAGCAAGAGAGGTAGTAAGAGGTGATAATAAACCCACATCACTGAAGTAGTTTGTATATTTATTCAACAAATATCTATAAATAACAGCAATGTTACAATGAAGACCCAGATGCATGACTCTGCCAAGGCCCCTCTCCACCATCTGACTTGGGTCTGCTCTTCTCAAGAAATGAATAAAAATCATGTCCAGGGCAATTGATAGAGCTATTTAAGTATTATGTATTTTCCCACAGTTGTAGGAGATTCTAAAGAATAAAAAGCTAATTCTCCTCTCTTCCAGCCTCCTGCAAGAGCCAAACTCTTAAATTCTTGGGTCCAGGATTTTTTGCCCAGCCCTCACACACCAACCCTCACTCCCCAACCGTCCATCACTCCCTTCTTTAGGGAGGGAGGTTAAGAGCTTCCCTGTTGTAGAGGCTACTCCAGTTTTTGCCCTTGATGGGGGTAAGCTAAAGCTGCTTCCTGAGAACGATGGTGAGAGTGGCCCAAATGTGAGTTAAAGACATACAGATAGTAACTGAACACATGAAAGGACATTCAAAATTGCTAGCCAGTGCCAAGCATAGTGGCTCGTGTCTATAATCACAGCATTTTGAGAGGCTGAGGCAAGATGATTGCTTGAGTCCAGGAGTTCAAGACCAGCCTGGGCAACATAGAGAGACCCCCCCCCAATCTCTTAAAAAAAATGCTGAACATAGTAGCATGTGTCTGTAGTCCCAGTTACTTGGGAAGTTGAGGTGGGAGGATCACTTGAGCCTGGGAGCTCAAGGCTGCAGCAAGCTGTGATCACGCCACTGCACTCCAGCCTGGGCAACAGAGTGAGACCCTGTTTCAAAATAAAAAATTGCTGGCCATTTGGGAAATTCAAATTAAAACCATAATGACATACTATTACACACCTAGTAGAATGACTAAAATAAAAACATCGGCAGTACTGAATGCTAGCAAGGATGCAAAGAAACTGGATTGCTCATACTTTGCTGGTGGGAATGTTAAATGATACAGCCACTGTGGAACTATGTCTGGCAATTTCTTAAAAAGTTCTACATATATTTACCAAGTGATCCAGCAATTACATTCCTGAGCATTTATCCCAGAGAAATGAAAACTTATATTCACACAAAAACTTGCGTACACATATTTATTTGTAATAACCTCAAACTGGAAACAACCTAAATGTCCTTCAACAGGTGAATGGTTAAACTGTGGTACATCCATACAATGGAATACTACTCAGAAAGAAAAAGGAATGAACTGTCATTACATATGACAGCTTAAATGGCTCTCAAAGGCATTATGCCGAGTGAAAAAAGCCAGTTTTGGCTGGGTGTGGTGGCTCATGCCTGTAATCCCAGTGCTTTGGGAGGCCAAGGTGGGAGGATCAGATCACCTGAGGCCAGGAGTTTGAAACCAGCCTGGGCAACAAAACAAGACCCTGTCTCAATTTTTATTTTTTTTTGAGATGGAGGCTTGCTCTGTCACCCAGGCTGGAGTGCAGTGGTGCGATCTCAGCTCACTGCAAGCTCCGCCTCCCAGGTTCACACCAGTCTCCTGTCTCAGCCTCCTGGGTAGCTGGCACTACAGGCGCCCACCACCATGCCCGGCTAATTTTTTGTATTTTTAGTAGAGACAGGGTTTCACTGTATTAGCCAGGATGGTCTCGATCTCTTGACTGCGTGATCCGCCTGCCTCAGCCTCCCAAAGTGCTAGGATTACAGGCGTGAGCCACTACACCCAGCACAAAAAAAAATTTTTTTAGAAAGAAAAAAGCCTGTTTCAAAATGCTGCATGCTCTATGATCCCATTTATATAACATTCTTGAAATGGCCAAATTATAGAGATGAAGAGCAGATCAGTGGTTGTCAAACACTAGGGAAGGAGGAGGGGAGCGTGTGAGTATAATAGGGTAGAGGAAGTGACGGAACAGTTCTTTGTCTTAATTGTGATGTGGGCTACATAATTCTATAGCTATGATAAAATATCATAGAATTATATACAAAGACATAGAGTGAAAAACTGGTGAAATCTGCGTAAGGCCTGTGGTCAAGTTAATTGTATTGTGCCAGTGTCAATTTCATGGTGCTGATCATGTACTACTATACAGTTACATAAGATGCTATCACTAGGTGAAGCTAGGTGGTGGGGATGGGGAACTCCCTACTTTAATATTTCAAAAAACAAAAGCAAAACAGGCAGTGGGCTGAATTTGGCCAAGGCATAGTTTGATGACCCATTCTTTGGAGAAAAGAACTTTGTTCTCTCATTTCTATTTCAAAACATCCCCGAAGACTCTGATTGTCCTGGCTTGGGTCATGTGCCTCTCCTTTGTATCTGTCACTGTAGACAAAAAAGCAAGGCCATGTCATTACATATTAGAACTCATCAAGGGTGGTGAAGGAGTTGTTCTCCCAAATAAAGAAAGGAGGCCGGACACGGTGGCTCACACCTGTAATCCCAGCACTTTGGGGGGCCAAGGCAGGTGGATCACAAGGTCAGGAGTTCAAGACCAGCCTGGCCAACATGGTGAAACCCCGTCTCTACTAAAAAAATACAAAAATTAGCTAGTCACAGTGGCGTGCACCTGTAATCCCAGCTACTCGGGAGGCTGAGGCAGGAGAATTGCTTGAACCTGGGAGGCAGAGGTTGCAATGAGTCAAGATCGCGCCACTGCACTCCAGCCTGGGTGACAGAGAAGGACTCCATGTCAAAAAAAAAAAAAAAAAAGAAAAAGAAAAAAAAGGGCTGCAGTGTAGACAAAACCATATCTGTCCACTAGAGTAGTGAGTGTCTTAAAATTCTCAAAGTTAGGAAGCACAGATGGGCTTCATGCAGAACTAGAACCAGGAGCTCAAAAACTAGCAGGAGCTCCTTTCCTCATGGAGCCATTTCATCTCTTTTGACTCTACCCTTCTCTGTACCTGCTTCATTCTTTGCTCATGCTGCAGTATAGCTTTCTATGCCTTTCTGTGGGGGCTCAATTTTGTGGGGTGGTTGCTCCACAGCTTCTGTGCTTATGTTTTCCCTACTAAAATGCTTACAATATCATTATGCTCACATTTTATATTGCACTGGAGAATATTAAGATAGTAATCTTTTGACTTACTATTAAAATTTTGTGAATTTTTATCTTTATGATGCTATACTCCTTTCCTAGCCTAATAAACTATGTGTATTATTTTAAAAGGCCCAGAGACGAGAGATCAAAATGGCTGCCTAGATGCAGGTAGTGTGTGCCTCCTCCTCAGAGAGGAACCAGAATAGTAAGTAGATAGATTTCATACAGACCACCCAGCAAAGAGTGCTGGGATTCACCAGAGAAGAGATGGGAAGCACCAGAAGTAAGGAGAGGGTTCAAGGCAGCTTGCCTGGCCAGGGACTGCCTGTGAGCCAGGAATCTTCTATACGTTGGTAAACAGACTAAGAGTGAAACCCCAGGGCTCAGCTTTTACAATCTTGGCTATAAGAGAAACCCTCAACTCATTAGCTAGCGCCTTGGGTCTGACATACGGAGCTGCCTGAAGATTGCACAGAGATGTTGCTCCAGAATGGGAACCCACACAGAATCTCACAGGCACCCTAGCCTAGAGCAGCCTCAGCCAGGTGCCATATTGAGAGCCTACATGCTGGGGATCTACAGACATGGCTGTTGCCACTGCACTGCACCAAGGAGAGGGACAGGAGCCTGGGCACTCACACACACCCCTGGGAGGGTCCCTACCACCCTGCAATGGGCTGCTGTTGAGACTGAGACATGAGCGGACCACACTTCCCACAGTGCCTGCCCAAGCCACTTGCCTGGGAGGGACGCCACCCTCTCTGGTCCCAGGCTCAAGGTGCCATTTTGAGTTTAATGCTGGGTTGCACCCTGCCCTCAGGCCCAGTTTGAGCTGACTCAGCTGCCGCCATGATACGCTTTGGATGTTTGTCCCCTCTAACTATTACGTTGAAATGTGATTTCCAATATTGAAGGTGGATCCTGGTGGGAGGTTTTAGAGTCATGGGGGTGGATCCCTCATAAACGGCTTGGTGTCATCCCCTTGGTGATGAGTGAGTTCTTGATCTGTGAGTTCAATCAAGAGCTGGTTGTTTAAAGAGCCTGGCACCTTTCCCCCTCCTTCCCTTGCTCCCTCTCTCGCCGTGTGACACACTGGCTCCCCTTCACCTTCCGTACAATTGTAAGCTTCCTGAGGCTCTCACCAGATGTAGATGCTGGCACTATGCTTTGTGTATAGCCTGCAGAACCGTGGGCCAAATGAACCACTTCACTTCTCTCTTCTCTTCTCTTCTCTTTTTTTTTGAAACAGAGTCTCCCTCTGTTGCTCAAACTGGAGTGCAGTGGTGTGATCTCAGCTCAGTGCAACCTCTGCCTCCCAGGTTCAAGCAATTCTCACGTCTCAGCCTCCCAAGTAGCTGGGATTACAGGCACGCACCACCACACATGGCTAATTTTTGTATTTTTAGTACAGACAGGGTTTCACCATGTTGGCCAGGCTGGTCTCGAGCTCCTGGCCTCAAGTGATCCGCCTGCCTCAGCCTCCCAAAGTGCCGGGATTACAGGCGTGAACCACCGTGCCTGGCCAAACCTCTTTTCTTTATACATTACCCAGCCTCGGGTACTTCTTTATGGCAACACAAATTTGATTAATACAAGCCACCACCCAGCCAAGGAAAGCCAGAGAATCCAAGCCCTCCTATGTACATCTAAGATAACACCTACTACCCTGCAATGGGCTGCTGTGGAACTGAAGTGCTAGTGGACAGCACTCCCTACAGTGTCCTGCCCACGCTGCCTGCCTGGGAGATACTCTGCCTCTGGTTACAGGCCCAATGTGCCATTTTGAGGGTTTAATGCTGGGCTGCATCCCACCCTCAGGCCAAATTCAAGTTTACATGGCTGCCGTTGCTGCCTGGCCAAGGAAGGACAAGGAAACCAAGCTCTCCTACATACACCTAGGACGATACCCACTGCCCTGCTGCTGTGAGACTAACATTCAAGCAGACCACACTCCCCACAGCTTCTTGCTCATGCTGCTCACCTGAGAAGGGCCTTGCCCTCTCTGATCACAAGCCCACAGCTAGCACCATTTTCAGAGTTTCCCCACTGGGTTGTGTCCCATCCTCGGGCCAAGTGTGAGGTGACACAGCTGTAGCCACCACTAAGCCAGGGGAGGGGCAGATGAGAACATGCTCTCCCAAGCACACTTAGGACAATACCCACCACACTGGTATGGGTGGCTGCAGGGCTGGAGACTAGCCTGCTCAACACATTGAGCTACCAGGAACACCAACACAGACCAGTTGGGACCTTGTGGGTTACAGTACCGCCATCACCCACACCACACCAGCTGCCTGAGAATCCACCCACTACCTAGCCCACCACTCCCACTACTAGCTTCTAAGCAAGCCAACTGGAGATTGGCCCAAAACTCAGCCCTCCAGGACTAACTAACATCAGAGCCAGTGTAAGCTGCTCTAGAGTCTAAAAACAGCCACATTCACCCCGTTGCTGCCAACACCAGGGCCTGGAGACTGGTTCAGTTGGTGTCCAAGTCCCCAGCAAAACTATCACAACTTCAACTAGTAAGTGTTCCCTAAGCCACTGAGGAAATCATATATACCAGTGGCCCTGTGCACTGCTGAAGAAGTTGTACAAAGATTACACTATTTCAGGCATCCAAAATAAAAGCCAAAGTATCCTACTCAGCCGACAACATACATACTACTCAGGAAAAAATTTCCCTACAAAAGCAATGTCAAGAAATTGAAACAAGCAACTGCTACAAAAGATAGACAGATATCAATGATGGTAGAGCTCTATAGAGAGAACTATAAAACACTGATGAAAGAAATAGTAGATGAGACCCAAGAAGTGGAAAGACATCTCATGCTCATGGATTGGAAGAACGAATACTGTTAAAATGACTATATTGCCCAAAGCAATCTACAGATTTAATGTAATCCCTATCAAATTACCAATATCATTTTTCACAGAATGAGAAAAAACAATTCCAAAGTTCATATGGAACTAAAAAGGAGCCCAGATAGCCAAAGCAATCCTAAGCAAAAAGAATAAAGCCGGAGGCCTCACATTACCTGACTACAAATTATACTACAAGGCAGCCGGGCACAGTGGCTGACGCCTATAATCCCAGCACTTTGGGAGGCTGAGGCGGGCGGATCACAAGGTCAAGAGATCGAGGCAATCCTGGCCAACATGGTGAAACCCCCGTCTCTACTAAAAATACAAAAATTAGCTGGGCGTGGTGGCACGCGTCTGTAGTCCCAGCTACTCCAGAGGCTGAGGAAGGAGAATAGCTTGAACCCAGGAGGCAGAGGTTGCAGTGAGCTGAGATTGTGGAACTGCACTCCAGCCTGGCAACAGAGTGAGACTTCATCTCAAAAAAAAAAAAAAAAAAAAAAATTATACTATGAGGCTATAGTAACCAAAACAGCATGACACTGTTATAAAAACAGACATATAGATCAATAGAACAGAATAGAGAACCCATAAATAAAGCCACATGCCTACAACCAATTGATCTTTGACAAAGATGACAAAATAGACAATAGGGAAGGGAAACTCTATTCAATAAATGGTGCTGGGAAATTTGGATAGCTGTATGTAGGAGAATGAAACTGGACCTATGCATCTCATCACAGACAAAAATTTGAATCAAGATGGATTAAAGTCCTAAACATAAGACTGGAAGCTATAAAAATCCTAGAAGAAAACCTGGGAAAAACTGGACATTGGACCTAGGCAAGAATTTATGACCAAGTTTTCAAAAGCAAATGCAACAAAAACAAAAATAGGCAAATGGGACATAATTAAACTCAACAGCTTCTGCACAGCAAAAGAAACAATCCACAGAGTAAACAGACAACCTACAAAATGGGAAAAAAATATTTGCAAACTGTGCATCTGACAAAGTGTTAATATCCAGAATCTACAAGGAAGTCAAACAGCTCAACAAGAAAAAACCCCACTGAAACATGGGCAGACTGGACACGGTGACTCATGCCTGTAATCCTAGCACTTTGGGAGGCTGAGGCCGATGGATCATCTGAGGTCAGGAGTTCGAGACCAGCCTGGCCAACATGGTGAAACCCCACCTCTACTAAAAATACGAAAATTAGCTACGTGTGGTGGTGTGTGCCTGTAATCCCAGCTACCTGGGAGGCTGAGGCAGGAGAATCACTGGAACCCAGGGGTGGAGGTTGCAGTGAGTCGAGATTGCACCACCGTACTATAGCCTGGATGACAGAGCAAGACTCCATCTCAAAAATAAATAAATTAAATTTAAAAAAAAAAGAAACATGGGCAAACAGCCTGAGCAACATGGTGAGACCTCATCTCTACAAATGGTAAAAAATTAGCCAGGTGTGGGAGCATGCACCTGTGGTTCCAGCTACTTGGGAGGCTGAGGTGAGAGAGGTTGAGGCTACAGTGAGCCATGTTCATACTATTGTACTCCAGCCTGGGTGACAGAGCGAGACCCTGTCTCAAAAAAAAAAAAAAAAAAAAAAAAAAAAAAAAAAAAAAAAAAAAAAAAGTGGGCAAAGAACATGAACAGACGTTTTTCAAAAGAAGACATACAAGCAGCCAAAAATCTTATGAAAAAATGCTCAACATCACTAATCATCAGAAAAATGCAAACTGAAACCACAATGAGATACCATCTTATACTAGTCACAACAGCTGTTACTAAAAAGTCAAAAAAACAACAGATGTTGGCAAGAATGTGGAAAAAAAGGAACACTTTTACACTGTTGGTGGGAATGTAAATTAGTAGAACCTTTATGGAAAATAGTGTGGAGATTTCTCCAAGAATTAAAAATAGAACTACCATTCAATCCAGCAATCCCACTACTGGGTATTTACCCAAAGGGAAATAAATCTTTATATTAATATCAAAAAGATACCTGCACTTGTATGTTTATCACAGCACTATTCACAATAGCAAAGATATGTGATATATTTGGAATATTTGTTCCCACCCAAATCTCACGTTGAATTGTAATCCCCAGTACTGGAGGTGGGGCCTGGTAGGAGGTGTTTGGGTCATGGGGGTGGATTTCTGATGGCTTGCCACTGTCTTTGCAATAATGAGTGAGTTCTCATGAGATCTGGTCATTTAAAAGTGTGTGGAACCTCCCCCTGCACTAGCTCCTGCTCCCACTCTTGCCACATGATGTGCCTGCTCCTGCTTCACCTTCTGCCATGAGTAAAAGCTTCCAGAGGCCTCCCTAGAAGCAGATGCCAAAACTATGCTTCCTGTACAGCCTGCAGAACTGTGAGCCAATTAAGTTTCTTTTCTTATAAATTACCCAGTCTCAGGTTTTTCTTTATAACAATGCAAGAATGGAAATACAATATGGAATCGACCTAAGTGTCCATCAGTGGAGAACTGGATCAAGAAAATGTATTGTATGCAGACACACACACACCCCCACACCCCTACACCCACCATGGAATACTACCCAGTCATAAAAAAGAATGAAGTTGGCCATCACAAAGAAAATGATGGCAAAATATAAAATAATTTTTAAGAAATGAAATCATGTCTTTTGCAGCAGCATGGAAGGAACTGGAGGCTATTATCCTAAGTGAAATAACTCAGAAACAGAAAGTCAAATGCTGCATGTTCTCACTTATAAATGGGAGCTGAACAATGAGTACACATGGACATACAGACTGGAATAACTGACTTTGGAGACTCCAAAAGGTGGGAGATTGGGAGGGGGTAAGAGTTGAAAAATCACCTGTTGGGTGCAATCTTGTCTATTTGAGTAATGGATACACTAAAAGCCAAGACTTCACCATGACACGATAGATGCATGTGAGACATCTGCACTTGTACTCCCTAAATATTTAAAGATAAACACACACATGCACGCACACAAAACAACCCAAGGGATCGGTGTAGTAGCTTTCTTTCAATGAAGAGGGGTTGGAGGAAGGGCATAACATAGAGGTCAGAATGTAAAACATCAGTCTGTTTTAAGTCTTTAAGGCTTAAAAAACTATTTCTGGGAAAAAAGGCCCAGTAATATATAAAATTTTGGAATAGATTAAAAACAAAACATTGTCTCTAGTGAGAGTATATGTATATCATTTTAGTTAAAGTGCTTAGTAAATGAAGAACATTTTTTTTTCAAACCCAGAGACTGACAAGCATCTCTTAGTATCTGACCAGAATCTCTGGAGGGATACTTTGAACTAGGTGTCGCTCTTTAATTCAGTAATGATCTGTGACAACTGGTGGGGTCAGATAATAAAGACACAGCCACAGGGCCCCATCCTCTGAGACTCTGCAGTTCTTGGAGATGGGGGCCATGTGCTGAGCAGATACCTACCAAATGTGTCTATTATGCTACAGGAGACTAACAGGGTGCTGACCACCTGTGCTCCAGAAAACTAGCTACCTATCAGAAGCCATGCTCCCACTTCCAGGGGGTAGAATTGCACTGGGAATCAGCTACTCTGGACTGCGTCTCAAAGGACTATATCTCTCAGCCCTTGCAACCAAGTGAAACCATGTGACTCATGTTCGTCAGTGGAACATGGGCAGAAATGATGTGCCTCACTCCAGGCCTGGCTGTCCCTACCACCTCCCCAGTCCCTGCTTCATGTATACTTCTCCATGCCTGTTCCCCTTCTTCTAGCTGGAGGCAGAGGACTCCGGAGGCCTAGAGAGGGGTTGGGCAACCTGTTTAAAGAGCTGGATAGTAAATATTTTAGGCTTTGTGGGCCAGATAGTCTCTCTCGCAACTACTCAACTCTGTAATTATAGTACAAATGCAGTCATAGGCAATGCAACAAATGGGAGCAACTGTGTTGCAATAAAACTTTATTTCCACAAACAGGTAGTGGTGGGCTGGATTTGGTTCATGGAGGGCCCCAGTTTAGTGTCACCTGGGTTGTGTGATCTTGGCTATAGCATGTAATCTCTCTGAGCCTCAGTTTTCTTACCTGTGAAAGGAAGAAATCTGACTTAATCTCAAAATTCTCTAATAATTCCATGATTCTACAATTTCAGCTCATCAACTATTATTTATACTCAACTTCTAGCTTGAGTATAAGCTATTTACACTCTAGCTTGAGTATAAGCTATTTACACTCTAGCTTGAGTGTAAGTAATAGTTGATATTTGACCCAGCCATCCCATTACTGGGTATATACCCAAAGGACTATAAATCATGCTGCTATAAAGACACATGCACATGTATGTTTATTGCGGCACTATTCACAATAGCAAAGACTTGGAGCCAACCCAAATGTCCAACAATGATAGACTGGATTAAGAAAATGTGGCACATATACACCATGGAATACTATGCAGCCATAAAAATGATGAGTTCATGTCCTTTGTAGGGACATGGATGAAATTGGAAATCATCATTCTCAGTAAACTATCACAAGAACAAAAAACCAAACACCACATATTCTCACTCATAGGTGGGAATTGAACAATGAGAACACATGGACACAGGAAGGGGAACATCACACTCTGGGGACTGTTGTGGGCTGGGGGGAGGGGAGGGATAGCATTGGGAGATATACCTAATGCTAGATGACGAGTTGGTGGGTGCAGCACACCAGCATGGCATATGTATACATATGTAACTAACCTGCACATTGTGCACATGTACCCTAAAACTTAAAGTATAATAATAATAAATAAAAAATTAAAAAAAAATAGTTGATGAGCTGAAATTGTAGAATCAGCTACAGGATGGTGTGTGTATGCATTTTAAAATACTGATGACTTTACTTTCAAGCATCCTGTGAAAGAGAAAATTAGCTCAAAAATATACAGCAGTTAACCTTTATTTCCCAATTTGAGGAAAAGTAGAGGAGAAAATTATCAAGAGAAGAAGAAAAGCATCAGGTATTTCTACCGTTTACGGAACTTAACAGATTAAATACAGAAAGCAAGTTAGTGAATGAGTTCCAAGCATATATTCCATTGATGCAGACCACAGGGTGCTGCAGCTTGATCACAGCCATCACACAAGAGGGAAATTGAAAGTCTTTCTTTGGGAACTTCACAGCATCATTTATTAAATAAGCACCCTGGGAGCTAAAGAATTGTTTAGCTCAACAGCAGCAAGACACATTGAGAAAAGAGGGATGATGACATGAGTCCTTCCAACAACTGAGCAGTTTGCTCAGTGGAGGGAAGTTAATGTGTTAAAAAAGAAATATCAGCTATAAAAGTAGCAATAATAATCAAAATCTATATTTGTTTTTATTTACTTTCAAGAAGTCCTGAGGACTTTAACTCTGTCAACCCCACATTTGTGGGAGAGTCGCAAATTTTATATGATTAGTCTTGTTCGACAGATGAAAAACCTGTAAAAGCACTTATTAATGTCACATTTATACATATTTAAGTTTCAGGATAACTTCAAGGAACAATATTTTACTGAATGACAGCTATTTCACACCAAAACCACTAGTGGTAACTATTGCTGTATGAGTAATAATATTGGAACAATAAAATTCATGTTTCAAACAATTTTTTAGTGTAAAAATGTACCATACAATATTTGGTACATACTTACACTAAAAAATTACTCATTGTTTACCTGAAATTCAAACTTAACTGTGTGTCCTGTATTTTTGTTTGCTAAATCTAAATGTTGAAGCCAGAAGGAACCTTGCAAATCACAGTTCAATTCCTTAATTCTAAAGACAAAGTGGGACCAAGAGACATAAATCTCAAGGGAAATTTTCCTTAATGGTGATTGGAAATGCCTTAGAGTCTCTGAATTGTCAGTTTCTTTTCTAGTTCATCTAAGTCCTTCAGAGGAAGGCAGTCTAGAGATAGAAAGACAGGTAGGACATTGAGCCTCTGGATCCAGCAGTGCCCGAAGCAATTCTCAAACTTTTCAGTAACATGAGCCAGTAAATGTCCTTAATCACTTGAGCTGGTTTGAATGGTATTTCTATCCTTTTAAACTAACCTTGAGAGTCCACACTAATATTGCAAGGACTTCCACATTTCACATTTTCTTTTTTTTTTTTCACTTGGAGATAGGGTCTCACTCTGTTGCTCAGGCTGGAGTGTAGTGGTGTGATCATGGTTCACTGCAGCCTCAATGACCTGGGCTCAAGCAATGCTCCCACTTGAGCCTCCAAAGAAGCTGGGACTACAGGTGCTTGCCACTATGCCTGGTTAATTTTTAAATTTTTTGTAGAGATAGCATCTCGTCATTTTGTCCATGCTGGTCTCAAACTTCTGGCCTCAAGCAATCCTCCTGCCTTGGCCTCCCAAACTGCTAGGATTACAGGTGTGGGCTACTGTGCTCTGCCCACTACCACATTTTCTTATTCAAGTTGATAGACTAATTATCATAGTGCCATACAGTAGAAGTTCAACAAATACTTTTCAAATAAATGATAACCTTGGTTTAGGTTATTGCTTTCATTTTACCATCCAAACATTTTCCTTAATCATACAGTGTTGTTGTTGTGGGGTGTTTTTGTTTGTTTTTTGAGAAGCAGTCTTACTCCATCATCCAGATTGGAGTGCAGTGTTATAATTATAGCTCACTACAACCTCGAACTCCCAGGCTCAAGCAATTCTCTTCCTGCTTCAGCCTCCTGAGTAGCTGGGATTGCAGGCATTGCACCACTATGCCCAGCTAATTTTTTTATTTTTTGTAGAGAGTTGGGGGGTCTCACTGTCTTGTCCAGGCTAGTCTTGAACTACTGGTCTCAGGTGATCCTCCCACCTTGGATTCCCAAAGTGTTAGGATTACAGGCATGAGCCCCTGCACCCAGGCTTGTTGCTGCTTTTTAAAAACAAAGTCTGAATTTATTTGCCTGGGCACACAAAAAACAAATATATTATTAAAAGAAATATAAACATGTAGAATAATGAAACCAGAGGTCAAATTGTATATCTGTATTGCTTTCTGGAGAATAGCTTTGTTGACCTAAAGGAAAAAACTGTGGCCAAATTAACATAAGTAGAGGGTTTATTTGGGCCAAGTTTGAGGACTGCAACCAAGGAGCACAGATTCAAGTTGCCTGAATATATGCTCCAATTAGCAGTAGTTACAAGTGGGTTTTTAAAGGAAAAGAGAAGAGGCAGTTTGTAAGTTGTTTATCAAGAATTTACACTAAGGTAACATAAGGTATTGATTGGCTAAACATTGTTCTTTCTTTTCTCATTTCCCCCTTTTGATCAAAATTTTTCTCTTCTGAAGGCATCGATGACCAAAATTTTAGATGTTTGTCTCATGTCATTGGGAAGGCTCATTCCCAGGTAATCTCATCCCATGTCTGAGGGAAAGAGGACAGGTACTTATGGCTTAAGAATTTAGTGATGGCCAGGCACTGTGGCTCACACCTGTAATCCCAGCACTTTGGGAGGCCGAGGTGGGAGGATCACTTGAGCTCAGGAGTTCAAGACTAGCTTGGGCAACATAGCAAGACCCCCATCTCTACACAAAAATATAAAATAAAAAAATTTGAAATTTTAAACTTAAGAATTTAGAGAGGTCTCAAGGCTGAATTGACTGGCAACATAAAGGGACAGAGCAACAAGATCTAGGCCATCCACTTACAGAGGAGCCACAGCATGTTGGATCATTTCTTTCTTGATGTTAAGACATCTAGAAATACAAAGCATAATCAACTTAAGAACCAAAAATATTGAGATGGGATTTTTCCCCTGACTTTGACCCTCTTTGTGGACAGGAACTAGAGTGGCTCATTTCACTCAGCCTGCAGTCCATGGATGGCTAAGTGTAACAGCTCAGTGAAGGCTCAGGGTGACAGCCTCCTACACCTGCCTTTTTTGACACCTGAGTTCTTGTTCAGTGTCCAGGAACAATCAGGTCACACAAACTATTTGAAGGATAGTGTATTTGGAATATTTATTGGGCGATAAAAGTGGCTCTCAGTAGGATGGGGAATTTGAAAGGGGATGGTGTGGGAAGAAGGTGATGTTTCCCTGAAGCTGCACTGTCTGAAGTTAGCAGCGTCTATTCGTAATTTCTGACACTCAGCTGCATGGATCCCTGATGCTCAGCTGCACATATCTCCAATGTTCAGCAGCTTGCATCCCCAACCACTTGTATAAGCCGCTTGTGTTGCTCTTCCAGCTGAAGTCTTTTTATGGGCACAGGATAGGGGAATGGCAGGCAAAAAAGGCAATCACTTGGGCAGAAAAATAGGGCCAGCTGTTTTTACTTAGGGCTGAGGGTTCAGGCTTGAGGGTGGTGTTTAGCTGGGAGCCCAGCTGTTCTGTATCAATATGATGCAAATAAGGACAATTATTAACAAACAATTTGAAATCTAGATCTGAAAGGTGTTTTTATTTCTTAAGGTAACCAATCAAGTAAATCATGTAAGGGGTTTGGTCTTTCTAATGTCTTGTAGCCATTTAGTCTTTTGGGTGATTCTTTCTAACTGAATTTCTACTTTTCATCCTGGTCTGTAGAACAGGGTGACTAGCTGCAGGTCAGCTCCAGTTGGAGATCTTCTCCAGTGATGGAAGATGTCTGCTCAGGTAGGGCTAACTTTTTAAAATGAGAAATGTGAATTCATGAGTAGATGGCCTTGAGTTTGGCTGCACAAGGATTGGTTAACAATATCTGATATAGTCCCTTCCAATGGGGTTGGAGAGAAGCTTTTATTTGATGTCATTTCCAGTAAACAAAATCTCCGGGTTGTAGGCCATGATCTCTGATGTCTTCCTCTCCCAGGAGCTCAATGTTGAAAGAATCCTTAACTAATTTAGAAATGTTAACCAGAAGCTTATAAGGCCTTGGCAAAAATGAGGAACATCACATTTGAGGAGAGCTGGTTTGTAGGCTCCTTCAACCAGGTGCACGGGCCTTGCAGTTATTATTTCAAATGGAGAAAGGTGCTGTTTTCCAAATAGGGTAGAACGTAAGTTAAGAAAGTGGAAGAGGCCGGGCATGATGGCTCATGCCTGCAATTCTAGCCCTTTGGGAGGCCTAGGCAGGTGGATCACTTGAGCTCCGCTGTTCAAGACCAGCCCGGCCAACGTGGTGAAATCCTGTCTCTATAAAAAATTAGCTGGGTGTGATGATGCATGCCTGTAGTCCTGGCTGCTTGGAGGGCTGAGGTGGGTGGATCACTTTATCCCAGGAAGTTGAGGCTGCAGTGAGCTGAGATTGCACCACTGCAACCTAGCCTGGGTGATGGGTGACAAAGTGAGATCCTGTCTCAAAAAAAAAAAAAAAAAGAAGAAAAGAAAAGAAAATGCAAGAGCCTTAGGCCAGGGAAGGGTAAACGTTTCTTTAAACCTTTCCAACTGATCTTTTATTATTCCATTTGTGCATTCCACCATTCTGGAAGACCGAGGGTGGTTTGCACAATGGAAATAATGATTGATCCAATCTCAATCAACTTTGACCGTACAAGATAATCATCATCAGCAGCAGCACTTTGGTAGGCTGAGACGGGCAGATCATTTGAGGTCAGGAGTTCCAGACCAGCCTGGCCCACATGGTGAAACGCCGTCTCTACTAAAAATACAAAAATTAGCCAGGCATGGTGGCGCGTGCCTGTAATCCCAGCTACTCAGGAGGCTGAGGCACAAGAATCGCTTGAACCTGGGAGTTAGAGGTTGCAGTGAGCTGAGATTGCGCCACTGCATTCCAGCCTGGGCAACAAAGTGAGACTACATCTCAAAAAAAAAAAAAATTTAATAGCAGGAACGAAAGGAAGTAAAGTACACTTGGAAGATGGCCAGGTGGGAGATTAGAGATCCAAGTGCCCTGTGTGGCCCTTGACTTGGGGTTTTATACATTGGCATGGTTGGAAGTTTTGCATTTCTTCTCTCTCGATTCTTCCCTTGGAGCAGGCTGTCCACATGCAGGGTGGCCAGCCAGCACTTGGGAGGGGCTGCTTATGCAGTGTGTTTGCTGATGTTGTGTGCATGCTCATTTGAGACATTTTTCCCTTAACCGTCAAGTGTTCTAGAGGAAGGTCATATATCAGTTAAACTCCGCCATTTGCCTCTTAATGCCCATGCTTGAGCCCACTCAACTCCTGAGATCTTATTGGGAAGCCGCTAATCACCAGCTTCAGGTGTTTTCTATCTATTGGGAGGCAGTCCTTCCATGGTGCCAGCTGCAAACAATTATTATTACTAGAGAAACAGTTTAACAACCCCCTGACCATCACCTGATGGTTGCTTGATGTTTCTGGGGTTGGGGAGAAGCTCTTCTGCCCTGCTCATGTCTGCCTAACTGCCTACTCTAATAGTTCACACTAGTTTTCAAAAGTTTTTCTCCCTACTTTGGACTCTTAGTCTTTTGATTACCCATTCCATTGCCCTAAACAATTGTCAGGTAGGCAACCCTGAGTTTGCATTGGCAAAGACACAACTCGGCTGAAACGAGGTAGAAAATTTATATCTCAAAGGCACAAAATTTAGATATAAACACCATTATTTGCTGAGACAAGAGAATAGATAGAGGCTCAGTTAAGATTGCTAGGAAAAGTATCTTAAATAGGTAAGGTATGTTACATAAACTTTAAGCTAATGTATTCCCTGTGATAAAAGTGTCTAATGGTTTAGGTGCAAAGAGAGAGATACCCTTACAAATGGAGATTTCCTTAATAGATATAAATTTCTTTTACAAAGAGTTTCAAAATAGCTAAATATCCGAAAGGTATATTTTGGAGACTGATTTAGTTAGAATGGTGGCCTTATTCATTTAGCATCTTTCTTCATTCGATTACTGACTTCAGGGTGGAGGCCATTAGTGTAAAGGGTAAAGAAAGTATTTGCGGTTTTCAGGGCCTAATATGTAAGTATGTGAAAAGCAGGCACAACCAGAAGGAAGAGCATCTAGATCTTTCAGAATCAAGGATCCTATTTTTATACCAAATTCTGGGTCGCCCAATAGAGGGAAACACCCTGCAACAGGGCTGCACAACATTCCGCAGTGCTTCTCACTACAAAGACATTCCCCCAAGGCCAGTGGTCACCCAACCCCAGTCAGCCCACTCTGTGATCACCCATTCTCCATGGGATTCTCATCCCTTGGTGGCAAGTGTTTCCACAGCCTCCACATATTCAAACTACACCTTTGTTATCTGATCGTGCAAAGAAACAAGGAGTTCCCTACCAGTGACTTGCCAGCGATCACACCCATCAAAGTTAAGTTCTCTCTTACAGTACAAAGTAATCCCTCATACCCCAAAAGCCAAAGAGATTAGGAAACTCAATACAAACAACAGCAGAGCTTTACATCTGAGAGGAAACTGCCTATGCCCTCTTGAGACTCCACAAAGGAGAGAGAGGACCCCAAGGGGAGGTGTGTGGGGGTGGGGGCACGTTTTTCTGTGTTCCTCAAGGGGTATCCAGGCTGCTAGAAGTCTACCCTAGATTTTTTTTTTTTGAGACGGAATCTCACTCTGTTGCCCAGGCTGAAGTGCAGTGGCATGATCTTGGCTCACTGCAACCTCCGCTTCCCGAGTTCAAGCAATTCTTCTGCCTCAGTCTCCTGAGTAGCTGGGATTACAGGCACATGACACCATGCCCAGCTAATTTTTTTTTTTTCAGTAGAGACAGGGTTTCACCATTTTGGTCAGGCTGGTCCCCTAGATTTTTTCATGTGGTTTTAAAAGTAGCAAAAGTGAAGAGGATCAGAAGTAGAAGGAAATAGAAGAGCAAGCCTAGAGTAGCCAATTTGGGAGGTTTTAAGCTTTCTAAAAGGCCAGTGAAGTTTTACATTTTTCTCAGTGGAATTGTGTCAACAGGAAAGCAAGCAAACAGAGGGACCGAACATATTTTACGAAGGGTTTCAGTTGACTGAAAAAAATTCTCAGAAACAGGATCCAAAATAGAAAAAGCAGAGACCTTTTTTCCAAAAAAAATTATAGCCTAAATATCAGCTTTTAATTAAGTTGACTTCTGACCATAGAACTGAAAAAAAAAAAAAAATTCAAACCTCTTATCAGATTTCAGCCAGCACAAACAGAGAATAGTTCTCCTTCAATGTGTCTGATTCTAAAACCAGCTTTTTCCAATTGTACACACATGAGTTATCTTAGGCATTTCAAAGGACCCTCATTTCAGCCATTGCTGCTTATGACCATCCTGGGTCATGTGGGTTCATTTTCCTAGATATTATAAGAGGACGCCTTGTAAGTGTTGTACATAAAAACCAGCTGGTGTTTCTAAAGGAGGCTGTCCCTTAAAAGAGCACTCCGATTTTGAAGCTTGAATTCCCATAATTTAGGAACTTTTCAAAAGTGACCAAGGCCAGAAATGCGTTTTGCTTTGAGAAGTGTGCTTCTTCTGAGTGTCACTCCTCAGGGTGTCATCCAAAAGTCGAGACTCTCTCTGTTATGTGTCCCAGACTGCCTCTAACTGCCAGGTGGCAGTAGGGTGCTCAAGGTATTGGGGTAACCAATTCCTTAATTTTTACCTTTCCTGATGAGTTAGATTCCCTAAAATGTTCTTCTGGTGAAAAATGCCCTATGAGGCTGC
Organism: Homo sapiens; assembly: GCF_000001405.40. Lineage (NCBI taxonomy): Eukaryota > Metazoa > Chordata > Mammalia > Primates > Hominidae > Homo > Homo sapiens. The sequence goes on from NW_025791761.1 coordinate 55,797, forward strand.
TTCCCATCCCAGACAATATTCCTGACACCTCTATAAAGTCTCTAGTCACATAGAACACCTGAATGGGTCAGAGGGAGCAGTTGCCTCTTCTCTTGGAGGCGAGAAAACTCACACTATGCACCTTTCAGTTTGAAACTAACAGGAATTGGTCACAAGTGAAAATGCAAGTCTAAATTACAAGGAGTAGATAGCAGCTGCAATTTTATTTTATTTTACTTTATTTATTAATTGAGATGGACTTCCACTCTGGACCCTAGGCTGGAGTGTAGTAGTACCATCATAGCTCACCGTAGCCTCGAACTCCTGGGCTTAGGCAGTCCTCTTGCCTCAGCATCCCAAGTAGCTGGGACTGCAGGTACATGCCACTGCATCTGGCTAATTTTTAAATTTTTTGTAGAGATGCCACTGCACCCAGCCAATAGCTGCAATTTTTAAAGCATGCTATGTAATTTTAGGCCAAAACAAGTGTAACTACTGGTACCAGACTGCCCATACCATAACCTGAACTTCTTGCCCTGAGGTAGAGGCAGAAAAAGCAGTTCTCTGCAGACCTGTTTATCCAAATCTCCCATCCAGACACTGAGACCAAAGCCCTCACTCTTAGAGGAAAGAGAGGGTTTGACTTTTTTCTTATTTTTTAGATACAGTGATGGCAGTGGCAGCCTGTCTGGAGCAGCTGCTGTGAAGATGCGGGCTGCAGTAGGGGAAGTACTGCCAGGGCTGCATGCTCCATGGAGCCAGCAGGAGCTGAAACAGGCAGGAGCCCTGCCCGCTTCCAAGTTGGCAGGGCAGGAAACCTGTGCTCCCTGAGTGTAGCTGCAGCTGCCCAGCTACAGCTCCAGACCCAGGCATCCCTGTGCTCTTGGGGGCCCAGGAAGTGCCCCCTGACCCCACAGGCTCAGAAGTGCCTGCTCTCACTCCCTGGCCTCTCCCTGCACTCAGTGCCCACTCTGTTGCAGAAGCAAAGTTGTGGCCAAAGCCAGATGCTGTCGTGACCCAGCCAGGTGTGTGTGCACTTGGGGCAGTGCTGACATGCCGCCCTGGCCCCCTTTGGACTTTGGTCACTGATGAGTGCAGGAGGGAGGTGGTGGGGGGTGCTGAGGGCAGCTCGGTGTGGGCCTGCAGGTACCCCTTATCATGAAAAGCCTGGGTGCCATGGATGGAATGTTGTTAGCAGGAGGTAGACAGGTTCCTGGGCAGAAAAGAGCAGGTCCCTATCCACCTTCAAGCCAGGGATGGCCTGAAGCCTGGGGGCCAGTCTGCCACTTCCAGGTGGAGTCCACACCTGGAATGAGAACTTATGGTGCTTTTTCCGAGCCCATCCATGACCACCCATGGGCCAATTAGCATGCATTTCCTCCCTTCTGAGCTCATAAAAACCCTGGACTCAGACAGATGTAAGGACGACCTGCCTGTGAATAGGAGCTACCCACTCTGGGTCTCCTGTCTCCTGACAGCTGGACACTCAATGGGACAACCTGCCTGCAGAAAGAAGCTACCCATTTTGGGTCTCCTGAGAGCTGTTCTGTCGCTCAATGAAACTCCTCTCTACTTTGCTCACCCTGCAGTGGTCTGTGTAGCTCATTCTTCTTGTACGTGGGACAAGAACTCAGGAACCGCCGAATGGCAGGACTGAAAGAGCTGTAACACCAACAGGGCTGAAACATGTGCCCCACCTCCCTGTTTGCCACACCGTGGGCAATGAGAAGGGGAAAAAAGCTGTGGCCCTTCAGGGATCCCAGACCTAGGGGATCCCCAAGCCAGAGCTGTGACACCCTCTTTGGGGCTGTGTGGTTCCTGGCATCTCCAAGCTTCTGGGTACCACCACATTCCCCTCATCCAGACGTGGATGCCTGCAGCAGAAGCTGTGTGTGGTGCATCTGTTCCAGCCACAGCTTCACATGGAGCTGGCACCTGTGCCAGAGCCTGGAGCTGCCTGCCCTGCCACAGCAGCCAGCATCCCTGGCTGTGCACAGTGACCTCACCTCGCACTCGCTCACCCACACACCCCTCGCCACTCCCTGCCTGGCTTGCCTTTGGCAGGTGTCAGATCCAGGCCGGTAGTGCAAGCCAAGCACAGCCTGCCAGGCAGAGTGGGCAGAATGAGCCCAGCAGGTGCAAGCAACACTCAGGCAGAATGTACTGCTAGCCACAGAGGTTTCTGGCTGGTGAAGCAACACCCCAAGGATTCCATGACAACAGGAATCTCACTCACTTGCCCAGGTTAGAGTGTAATGATGTGATCATAGCTCACCGTAACCTCAAATTCCTGGGCTCAAGCAATCCTCTGGCCTCAGCCTCCTGAGTAGTGAGGCTAATTTTTAATTTTTTTGCAGGAACGGGGTCTTACTCTGTTGCCCAGGCTGGCCTTGAACTCCTGGCCTCAAGCCCTCCTCCTGCCTCAGCCTCCCAAAGTGTTGGGATTACAGAAGTGAGGCACCATGCCCAACCATGAAAGAGAGGGTTTGAAAAACACAGCCCAAATAAAATCTAGACCTCAGCTGAAAAGGAAATGGAGATCCAGATTCAGGACTGAAACTTTTGTGGCCACTGAAACCTCTGGAGTTGGAAGAACACAGTGGGTTTGTGCTGGTACCAAGCATTGAATCAGAGAAGGAATGCCAGATAGTCGGCAGTCTGTCATTTTAAATCCTGCTGGTGACATTTTAAATCTGGTGACATACACCACATATGTCAACCTGAAGGAAAAAACTGATACAAAATTAATGGAAGTAGGAAGTGTATTTGGGCCAAGTTTAAGGAGTATAGCCCAGAAGCATTGATTCAAGTTGCCCTGAATATATTCTCTGATTAGCAGCAGTTACAAGTTATATCTTATTTATTCATTTATTTAAATTTAATTTAATTTGTTTTTTTTGAGACAGAGTCTCACTCAGTCACTGGGGCTGGAGTGCAATGGCGTGATCTCGGCCTACTGCAACCTCTGCCTCCTGGGTTCAAGTGATTCTCCTGCCTCAGCCTCCCAAGCAGCTGGCTGCCGTCATGCCCAGCTAATTTTTGTATTTTTGCAGAGACAGGGTTTCACCGTGTGGGCCAGGCTGGTCTCAAACTCCTGACCTCAGGTGATCCGCCTACCTTGGCCTCCCAAAGTGCTGGGATTACAGGTGTGAGTTACTGCACCCAGCCTTTATTTATTTTTGTTTGAGACAGAGTCTAACTCTGTCACCCAGGCTGGAGTGCAGTGGCACGATCTCAACTTACTGCAATCTCTGCTTCTGAAGTTCAAACGATTCTCCTGCCTCAGCCTCCCAAGTAGCTGGGATTAGAGGTGCATGCCACCATGCCTGGCTAATTTTTGTATTTTTAGTAGAAATGGAGTTTCACCATGTTGTCCAGGCTGGTCTGGAACTCCTGACCTCCAGTGACCCACCCACCTTGGCATCCCAAATTCCTTGGATTACAGACATGAGCCACTGCACCTGGCCACAAGTCAGTTTTTAAAGGAAAAAAAGAAGAGGCAGTTTCTAAGATGTTTACCAAGAATTTACATTAAGATAACAAAAGCTGTTGATTGGTCTGTTCCTTGCATTACATTGTTCCTTGTATCCCAAATTCTAGAAACATAAAGATAATGAGTGAGGCAGCTAGTGAGGAAACTACAGAGAGGAAAAGAAAGAATAAAATTCAAAGAATTGCCCCTGGGCATGTTGGGCAGCAGGATTATTACTGAAGTTCTATCCTCATGTCTCTCCGGTCCTGTTAAATGTTGCATACCACAGATAGCTCAAAGTGTTCTGACCTATTTTTCTTTTCTCAGTTTAAACATAGAAGTAGCCAAATTGAATAATGCTATACTTCCAGACTACATCCATTCTTCTTCTCCTCCATTTAGTCTCAGTCTGTCAGAATAAGAAATGAAGAATGACTGGTGTGGTGGCTCATGCCTATAATCCCAGCACTTTGGGGGACCAAGGCAGGAGGATCACTTGAGGCCATGAGTTCAAGGGCAGTCCGGGCAACACAGTGAGACCCCATCTCTACAGAAAAATTTAAAAATTAGCTGGTTGTGGTGGCGCATGAGGCTGAAGTGGGAGAATGGCTTCAGCCCAGGAGTTCCAGGCTGCAGTGAGCTATGATTGCATCACTGCACGGCAGCCTTGGTGACAGAGCAAGACCATGTCTTTAAAAAAAGAAAGGCGGTTGTGGGGGGAATACAGGGATGTAGACATCCATAGTAACTTTAGAAATTAAAAAGGTATTTTAAAATGAATATATTTCTAAATAATATATTTCTAAAACTAAAATCCCCTTTTTTATAATTTATTGTTTCATTCTCGGGACAAAACTCTCAACTTTACAGATGTGTTATTTTAGCATATTTACTTATTTACACCCAGATGTGAGAATTTAGCCCCTATACATCAAAAGCCATTTGAATAGCTGGATTGGTGTTTTCCTCTTTCTCTTTCTCTTAATTCTCCAAGACAGTCACATTTCTGAATGCAGATTCTGCAGGCCTCATTCTGGTAGCAGCCCTTCTGGAGCTGAGCTTCTTGGACATTTGAAAGTCAATCTCCAAGACAGTTTATATTCAGTTTCATATGAATATTGAGGAGTATCAGAATATGCCAACCTAAAATATGCCTATTTGGCATTTGGCTTATTTTGCGCTAAAGCCCGCTGAGAACCAGAAGACCAGGAAATTACATTTAGAAAGTCAATTTACATATAGAAATGGTGCTTCCCTCTGTACCAGGAGGAAGAGGATCCTTAACAACTCCTATCAATGGAGAAGGTACTTCCATCTGCATAACAAACCAATGACCCTTGTTTACCATACTTTTCCTGGTCACCTACCCCTAACTTTCCTCCCCCATGCAGAAGCCTAAAACTCTTCTTTCCTTGTTTAAGCCTAAGATGATAGAAAGCCAACTTCTAACCACCTAATGGAGTCAATCAATTCTGAATATGCCCATATGTAAGCACCAGGCATATGCTAATAAACATCTGTTTATTTTTTTTTCTTGTTAATCTGTCTTTAGCCAGCCTAATTTATATGGCACCAGCTGGAGAACTTAAGATGAGTGAAAGAGGAGTTTTTTTCCTCCTCTACAGTATCTATTTCTGCATTGGAAATGGACCCACATATACACTTAAACACAGTCTTCTAAACCACCCGGCATTCAAAGGTGACATTGTCACCTACCAACCCCCACATCCAGTAAACTCATTGCTTTAGATTGAATTTCAGATCATTTCATTGTGAAAGAAAAATAAAAAGTAGGAACTCCCAATTCATTATGCCAAAAGAGAAAAGTTAAGCTTGAAAACTGAGTCACAAAAAAACTGCCTTGCCTTTTGCTCCTAAACTGAAAGGTACAGATAAAAGACCACATGCCTCCACAGGGGACCTCCCACCCTGACCCTGAAAATGAAAATTAACAGCTTATCTCTATGGGTGCAGGACAAGAGTGAAGCAGGTGATACAGAAGAAAAAACAAATTTTCTTCCTTTCCTTTGGTATGAGCAGCTTCTCCCTTGAATCCCTCCCGCCTCGTGTGATTGTACCCTGCTCTGCAAGTTTTTATGAGTTTATAGGTTCCTGTTTTCTGTAACTAGTGTCTGTAAGTCTGTTTTTCATCTGAGTAGCACCATGGAGGTCATGAGACATGCTTGAGCAATCTTAGATTGCAGCCATCTGGGCGCCATAGTGGAGGACATGAGATAAGATTGTGCAGGCATCTTGAGCAAGCCTAGATAACAGCCACCTGGCCCACATAGCAAGAGTCACATGAAAGCCTGAGTTATGAGCCTGTCTCTGTTTGATAAACTGCCTTTGTTCTGCTTCCGTAAACCCACTTTTGCGCCACTGCATTTCGAGCCACAGATGCATGTATAAAAGTCAAGCCCTGTCTTTGTTTGGGTCTCAGCCTTCTGGATGCAAATCCGCTGAGCTGGTGCACCTAAATAAAATCCTCCTGTCCCACCTATTGGTCTCTCCAGTTCCTTCATTCCCGCAACAAGAGGAGATTAGAAATCATCTCCCCTACTTTAGACAAAGGCATATTTGACTGCTTCATCTACTCTGTTTACTTTTTTTTTTGAGACAAAGTGTCGCTCTGTTGCCAAAGCCAGAGTGCAGTGGCACAATCTCAGCTCAATCTCAGCTCACTGCAACCTCCACCTCCCGGGTTCAAGTGATGCTCCTGCCTCAGTCTCCTGAGTAGCTGGAATTACAGGTACATGCCACCACACCTGGCTATTTTTTGTATTTTTAGTAGAAACAAGGTTTTGCCATGTTGGCCAGGCCGGTCTCAAACTCATGACCTCAGGTGATCCACCTGCCTCGGCCTCCCAAAGTGCTGGGATTACAGGCGTGAGCCACCATGCCCAGCCTATTTTTTCTTATGTAAAGTACAGATTTACTGATTGTGAAATGAATACATAATTGACTGATTCCTCTACCCTCTCCTTTTCATGTGCAATATGTGGATTCACAAGAATGTCACCATACCCTCCCTCTTTTTTTCTTTCCCCTTTCCCTTCATGTCCAGTTTTCCCCTTTAAATGTTGAAGCCTTCAAAATCCTCTTTGGGGCCGGCCGCAGTGCTCACATCTGTAATCCCAGCATTTTGGGAGGCCGAGGCAGGCAGCTCACCTGATGTCAGAAGTTGGAGACCACTCTGGCCAACATGGCAAAATACCGTCTCCACTAAAAAATACAAAAATTAGCTGGACATGGTGGTGCACACCTGTAATCCCAGCTACTTGGGAGGCTGAGGCAGGAGAATTGCTTGAACTGGCGAGGCAGATGTTGAACCCAAGAGGCGGAGGTTGAAGTGAGCTGAGGTTGCGCCATTAAACTCCAGCCTGGATGACAGAATGAGAATCAGAAGGAAGGAAGGAAGGAAGAAAGGAAGGAAGGAAGGAAGGTTGGTCTTCAGAAAAAGTATGGGCTGCAGATCCTACCGTGGCTTGTGTCTCTTTTTCCTGGGTGTGTCCTCAACTTCAGCAAAATAAACCTCTAAGCTGATTGAGACCTGTCTCAGATACTTTTTGGTTTATACCATCAATAAATAGTTATAAATATTTTCCCCATTAACATCTAGTTTTGGGTGTTGAGGCAAGTTTTCCAGTAAAATTAACACTGGAAGAAGTGTTAGAGTAAAATGTTATAATTCTTTAGATGATTCTATCTTGTTTTGTATCCAAACCTTGAATCTCAATATTATTAAAAGTGAATTTTCTGGCTGGGCATGGTAGCTCATGCCTATAATCCCAGCACTTTGGGAGGCCAAGGTGGGAAGATTGCTTAAAGCCAGGGGTTCAAGACCAACCTGGGCAACACAGCAAGACCACATCTCCAATAAAAATTAAAAATATTATCTGGGTGTGATGGTGCACACCTGTAGTCCTAGCTACTCAGGAGGCTGATGTGGGAGGATCTCTTGAGCCTAGGAGACTGAGGCTGCAATGAGCTGTGATTGCACCACTGCACTACATACAGCCCAGGTGACAGAGTGAGATTGTCTCAAAAAAAAGTGAATTTTCTTAATATCATGATAACAAAATAACAAATATGCTTTTCACTCCAGCAAACACCCAACACCCTGACCAATTTAATATAATTGGTAACCATAATGTCTGAAGAACTTCAGTGACTTTCCCTCTTCCTTACATCTCATTGTACATTTACCAAGCTCTCTTTGGGCCCTCAAAAATAAAATTCTTGAGATTCATTTCATCTGTGAGATCCTGTCACAGTTACATTAAATGACAAGAGATTCATTTGTTTGTTTTTGGAATCTGAATGGTCTCCAAATTTCTTTAGGGCTCATTCAAACTTGAAAAGTAGTCCTAGGCCACAAACATAGAACCCAGAAGAAATCTGGGACTGAAAAGGGCAAATTGCATCATGACCTCAGATTTTTCCAAATTGAAATTATTTGCATGAATATTATCTGATACACAAACTTCACATCCATTCAATTCTTATTCCCTGACTACCCAGCCTCACCCCAGCTGTTCACCATAGTCTGCACCTGCAGGCCCAACACCCTTTAAGGACCCCTCAGATTTCAGAATAAGGAATTGCATATGGTGTGACTCAAGGAAATCTCCACTAGCAAGTAAAGTTTATAAGTGATTCCTTCCTTCCTTCCTTCCTTTTCTTTGCCTTTTCCTCTCTTCCACCCTTCTCCCTCCTCTTCCTTCCTCTCTCTCTTTCTCTTTCTTTCCCCCTTCCTCCTTCCCTCTCCCTCTCTGTCCCCTTTGTCCTTTCCCTCCTGTCTCCTTTTGGAATGATTTTAGCATTCTAGGTCTCCATGAGAACTTCAGGCATTGGCTTCCTTAATCTGAAATCTTGCCAACATGTACTAATTTCTGGATTTCCAATAACCTAGTCTCCCCAAATTAGGAAACTGACTCCAGTCAAAATCAATAAATACCATTGACTTGATCTGGTTTTGATTTGGTTCTTGTCACTTATAATCCTGCATTTCTTAACTAATACAGGAACACTCTCTCATGTTTCTTGCTAATCACCATTTTTCCAAGGCTTGGTTCAGTTTGTAATATCCCTCAAATCATTTTAGCACCTCCTGATTTACAACCTGGGTTCCTAAATACTTTTGAATTTTTTAAGTCACCCATAAAAGAAGCCACCACTCAGCTGAGTACAGTGGTGTGCACCTGTAGTCCCTCCCAGCTACTTGGAAGGCTAAGGCAGGAGGACCCCTTGAGGCCAAAAGTTTGAGGCTACAGTTCTTATGATCATATCTTTGAATAGCCATTGCATTTCTGTATTCCAGCCTAGGCAAGATAGCAAAATCTTCTCTAAAATAAAAAAAAAGAATCCCCTCACTTCTAATGAATGGGCAGTGAGTAGGTCATGCATAGGATTGTGCTCTTCTTTCTTACCACTGCTTATTGGGCCAGAAACCTGATCTGACAGAGGCCAGTCAACTAGTCAATCCACAGATATTAATTAGGATATTGCACTGAGACCATGGTGCAGTTGGAACCAAGAGCAAGATGAAAAAGCAGAGGATAAGTAGTTAGCAGAAAAAGAATGCAGCAGAGGTGGAGAAAAAAATAGTTTGTTCCAAGAACTTTATACTTATTATTTCTCTCTTGGAGATGTCAATGCTATGGATATACCTCAACAGAAACAACAAACTTTCAAAGGCACTGTAGATTTCCATAAACAGTGTATAGCAATTTATCCTATGATTTACATAAGAAAATGTTCAAAGGTTTAGCTACAAGTTTTTTTTTGCCATGTGTTATCTATAATAGAAAAATATTAAATATGTTAAATCTAAGAAAAATTCCCTAAGTAAGTTATGCTGCATCCATCTAATGGAATTTTTTTTTTTTTTTTTTTTGAAGACACAGTCTTCCTCTGTCACTCAGGCTGGCGTGCAGTGGTGCAATCTCAGCTCACTGCAACCTCCACCTCCCAAGTTTAAGCAATTCTCATGTCTCAGCCTCTGGAGTAGCTGGAATTACAGGTACACACCACCCCGCCCAGCTAATTTTTTGTATTTTTAGTAGAGATGGCATTTCGCTATGTTGGCCAGGCTGGTCTCAAACTCCTGGCTTCAAGTGATCCGCCTGCCTCAGCCCTCCCAAAGTTCTAGGATTGCATGCATGAGCCACCATGTCTAGCCCCATCTAATGGAATATTAAACTCGCATTTTAAAAATATTCTATATAGGCCAGGCATGGTGGCCTATACCTGTAATTCCCGCAGTTTGGGAAGCTGAGGCAGGTGGATCACCTGAGGTCAGGAGTTTGAGACTAACCTGACCACCAAGGTAAAACCTCATCTCTACTAAAAATACAAAATTAGCTAGGCGTGGTGGTGCATGCCTGTAATCCCAGCTACTTGTGAGGCTGAGGAAGGACAATCACTTGAACCTAGGGGGCGGAGCTTGCAGTGAGCCGAGATCATGCTATTGCACTCCAGCCTGGTCAACAAGAGCAAAACTCTGTCTCAAAAAAAATATTCCATATATATATAATTGTTATCATGGAGTGATCTCTAAGCTACACTATTAACTAAAAAGAGCTTGCTATAAGCAATATGCATATAAAATACCATTTAAATAAAAAAAGTGTTTGTGTTTGTAGAGAAAGACTTCAAAGCATTGTTACTAAAACACACTTATTGCTTCTGGGCCAAAAGAAATGTGAATAAATAACTTTTACTTTTTTATTCACGTTTTTCTTAGTTGCTTGAATTATCTACATGATTATGTGTGAACTTTATAAGGATTTTAAAAACCACAATAATATGTTCTGTTATTTAGTTTTTAAAAATCTCTGGATTTTAGATCATTATTATTCTGTGGTCCTTTTTTTTTTTTTTTTTTTGAGACAGAGTCTCACTTTGTCGCCAAGCTACAGTGCAGTGGCACAATCTCCGTTCACTGCAAACTCTGCCTCCCTGGTTCAAGCAATTCTCCTGCCTCAGCCTCCCGAGTAGCTGGGATTACAGGCACACACCACCACACCCAGCTAATTTTTGTATTTTTAGTAGAGACAGGGTTTCACCGTGTTGGCCAGGATAGTCTTAATCTCCTGACCTCGTGATCTGCCCACCTCAGCCTCCCAGTGTTGTTTGTTTTTTATTATATAAATTTAAGTGTATAATATGATATTTTGATATACACATACATAGTAAAATAATTACTACAAGTAAGCAATTTAACATATCCATCATCTCATTTAGTTACTTTTGTGGTTGGGGGAGGATCACCTAAATCTACTGTCTTCGAAAAATGTTAGTATACTATATCAATATGGTTTGGCTCTGTATTCCCACCAAAATCTCATCTCCAATTGTAATTGCCATAATCCCTACATGTCAAGGGAGGGACCTCGTGGGAGGTGATTGGGTCATGGGGGCGGTTTCCCCCATGCTGTTCTTGTGATAATGAGTTCTCACGTGATCTGATGGTTTTATAAGGGGCTCTTCCCCCTTCGCTCTCTTCCTCTCCTCCATCGCCAAGTAAGACATGCCTGCTTCCCCTTCTGCCATGATTGTAAGTTTCCTGAGGCCTCTCCAGCCATGCAGAACTGTAAGTCAATTAAAACTCTTTCCTTTATAAATGACACAGTCTCTGGCAGTTCTTTACAGCAGTGTAAGAATGACTATTACAAATACGAATAACTAGTCTCATGCTGTACTTTAAGTCTCTTTATTCATCCTATATAACTGCAACTTTGTACACTTGACCTGCATCTCTCCATTCCCCTCCCACCCCACCTCTAGTAACCATCTATGGTCCATTTTTTAAAAAATATATATTCAAAGGGGAAAAAAGCTGAAAGCAATGTGTTAATACTAGTTAATACTAGTATTAAGGGTGGTGGCTTCTCCTCCTCCTCCTCCTCCTCCTCCTCCTTCCTCTTTTGCTAGCATTTGTGTTTTCTTATTTTTCTACGAGGAAAATATGTTACCTGTATAAAAATTTTCTAAAGTTAATATTAAAAGTACTCGAAGGGTAAAGATCTCCTCTATGCAAGGAACTCAGTGAAAAAAATCCCCAATTAGTGTCAAAGATAAGCAAAACCAACATCAGTTAAAGCAGTAAAAACATTTTATTCAGGACTGCAGTAGAGGAAAGAGCCAAGCTCCATCCTGCTCAAATGACCTGGGACTTAACTCTCTTTCAAAAATTATGGGATGAAGAATCAGAATGGTGTCCACAGAGAATTTCAATTTAAATGTTATTTCTAATATTTACTGGCTCCCTTGGCAAGAAGAAAAAATATTATGTTCTTTTAATACCTGGTTTGGGTTGCTCTTACGGACTAGGATGACCTGTTTGCCAATTCCAGCAAATGGTAGCAGTTTCCTTGTCTCAGACTGCTCTATAAGCTTATGGGGGAAAAAATTAAAAGCAATTAGATTGAGATAGGCTTATAAAACAATGAAATAAAACTCCAAAAGGAACAGGGGAAGTGATAATTTCTGTGTGATGGCAAATTCTCATTGTATAAAACTCATTTTTAACATGAGTTTTCAGGGTGCTAAAACTGAAATTAAATTGAGGGTATGCTTAAATACTCTCTCTCAACACCTATTTTAAAACAAAAAGTTAAGTTGACTAAATTAACCTTTTTGAAAAGTTAGCTATTGTCAAACAAATTCATTTTCTCACAAAATGTACAATTATAATTCTTTAAAATCTGAACAAAGAAGATAAAGGCAATTTAGTTTCAAAACCATAAAAATATAATGTTTAAGGTGGCTTCAGATTGATTTTGAAGGCAAATGTAATATTTTCATCTGCTCCTTGGATGTATTTATTTCCTTGGTGCCAAATATTTGTTGATTTTGTGTCATTAAATTTAAAATCCAACTTCATGAGCCCAGGGGTGACCAATCTGTGCTGCTTATGGCTCTTCAAAGCTTGTCTAACCTTGCATGTACACTTTTTAAATTTTGGATTTGCTTTTACTGTTTAAAAATGCCTTTACTAATTATATAATACCATGAATAAAAAATATATATCCTCCAAAAGACTTAAAATGACATTGCAAGGCAGAGATACACAAGAACACTACAACCAACACCAGCAATCTGAGAGGTATTTTTATAACAATCTTTTTTCTTGTGGGGAGGTGGGATGAGCAGAAGGGAGAATGGGTGAGTAGGGTGGGTCTTTCAATGAATGGCATTGATAAATTCCGACATCTAACCTGAACCATGACTTGCATTAGTTTCTTTAATGCCAACTTAATGTGGTGGTGTTTTTTTTTAATTAATACTTTAATGGTAGTTGCTTCCTTAAGCATAGCCACATCCTTTAGTAAAGTAAAAGGAAAATGTGATTATAATATAAAGCAAATAACAGTGTATGGTTACTGACTCAGAAGAAATCACAGATTGGATATATAGGTCAAGTTTTAAAATGTTGATATGTGACCAAAAGGGAGTACTACTTAGGCATACCAAGAAGGAACTGGGGAACTCAATGAGAAGCCTCCCATCTCACCCAAAATGGCAGCTCAGTGAGGTGTCTGAATTGGTGATGGAAAAGCTGCTGAGACTGGACGCATAAAGCAGTGCCCTGGCCCAGTGGTCCCTAACTCTTTATGGTTCTGTTTGTGGGATTGTGTCTGTTGGTAGTGGCCTTTTGAACCAGGATCTGTAGGGTCTTCATGTTATTCTCTAGAATAGAATCTAGATTCTACAATCTAGAGTCTAGATTGTAGATTTTAGTGTTTGAGAGCCTCCAAGCTGCCCAGCTACCAAGTTTGAATTGTGCCCTCTCTCAAGGCTGATGTAGGGGTCCCCTTGTGTTCAACCCAGCTATTATCCAGTCAGATCAGACCACACTGCAGCATGCCACAGTGTGCCATGAGAAGTGAATGTTGGCTGCCATGTCATCGATCCTTACCGCATAACTCCAGAGATTATACACCAACTATTCAAAAGCAGTCCAGGCTTTTCTTTTTTTCTTTTTTTAAATTTATTTTTAATTTTTGTGGGTACATAGTATGTGTATATATTTATGGGGCACATGAGACATTTTGAAACAGACATACAATGTGTAATAATTACATCAGGGTGAATGGGATATCTATCACCTCAAGCTTTCATCCTTTGTGTTACAATCAAATAACTTTCAGTTATTTTAAAATGCACAATAAATTATTGTTGGCTATAGTCACCCTGTTGTGATATCAAATACTAGATTTTTTTTTTTTTGAGGTGGAGTCTCACTCTGTTGCCCAGGCTGGAGTGCAGTGGTGCAATCTCAGCTCACTGCAACCTCCGCCTCCCAGGTTCAAGCCATTCTCTTGCCTCAGCCTCCCGAGTGGCTGGGATTACAGGCACAAGCCACCCTGCCCGGCTCAAATACTAGATCTTATTCATTCTGCTTAACTATATTTTTGTCCCCATTAACCATCCCCATTCCACCTAACCCACCCCACTTACATTACTCTCCCCAGCCTCTGGTAACCATCCTTCTACTCTCTATCTCCTTGAGTTCAATTGTTTTAATTTTAAGCTCCCACAAATAAGTGGGAACATGTGAAGTTTGTCTTTTCGTGCCTGGCTTATTTTCTTTAACATAATGACCTCCAATTCAAGCTATGTTGTTGCAAATGATAGAATCTCATTCATTTTATGGCGGAATAGTACTCCATTGTGTATATGTAGCACATTTTCTTTATCCATTCCTCTGTTGATGGACACTTATCATGCTTCCAAATCTTAGCTATTGAGAATAGTGCTTCAATAAAAATGGGCATACAGATATCTCTTTGATATATTGATTTCCTTTCTTTTGGGTATATACCTAGAAGTGAGATTGCTGGATCATATGGTAGTTCTATTTTTAGTTTTTTGAGGAACCTCCAAACTGTTCTCCGTAGTGCTTGTACTAATCAACATCCCCACCAATAGTGGAGGAGGGTTCCCTTTACTCCGCATCCTCACCAGTATTCATTATTGCCTGTCGAAAAAGCCACTTTTTAAACTGAGGTGAGATTATATATCATTATAGTTTTGGTTTGCATTTCTCTGATGACCAATGATGTTGAGCACCTTTTCATATGCCTCTTTGCCATTTGTATGTCTTCTTTTGAGAAATGTTATTCACATATTTTAAAATCAGATTCTCAGATTTCTTTCCTATAGAGTTGTTTGAGCTTGTTATATATTCTGGTTATTAACCCCTTGTCAGATGGATAATTTGCAAATATTCTCTCCCATTGTATGGGTTATCTTCTCACATTGTTGATTGTTTCCTTTGCTGTGCAGAAGCTTTTTAACTTTATGTGATTCCATTTCTCCATTTTCACTTTGGTTGCCTATGCTTGTGGGGCATTACTTAAGAAATCTTTGCCCAGACCAATGTCCTGGAGAGTTTCCCCGAAGTTTTCTTTTAGTAGTTTCATAGTTTGAGGTCTTAGACTTAAGTCTTTAATCCATTCTGATTTTTTTTTTTTAGATGAAGTCTGGCTCTGTCGTCCAGGCTGGAGTGCAGTGGCATCATCTCGGCTCATTGCAACCTCCGCCTCCCAGGTTCAAGCGATTCTCCTGCCTCAGCCTCCCACATAGCTGGGATTACAGGCACCTGCCACCATGTCAGGCTAATTTTTTTGTATTTTTAGTAGAGATGGGGCTTCGCCATGTTGGCCAGGCTGGTCTTGAACTCCTGACTTCAAGTGATCCGCCTGCCTCGGCCTCCCAAAGTGCTGGGATTACAGACATGAGCCACCGCACCTGGCCAATCCATTCTGATGTGATTGTTGTATATGTTGAGATAGGGATCTAGTTTCATTCTTCTGCACATAGATATCCAGTTTCCCCAGCACCATTTATTGATGAGACTGTCCTTTCCCCAGTGTATGTTCTTGGCACCTTTGTTGAAAATGAATTACTGTAGATGCATGAATTCCTTTCTTGGTTCTCTATTCTGTTCTCTTGGTCTATGTGTCTGTTTTCATGTTAGTGTATATGTAGCACATTTTCTTTATCCATTCCTCTGTTGATGGACACTTAGGTTGCTTCCAAATCTTGGCTGTTGTAGATAGTGCTGCTGTATTGGTTACTATAGCTCTGTAGTATAATTCAAAGTCAGGTAATGTGATTCCTCCAGTTTTATTCCCTTTGCTCAGAATAGCTTTGGCTATTTGGTTTTTTTGTGGTTCCTTATAAATTTTAGGATTTTTTTTAATTTTTCTTTTTTAATTATACTTTAAGTTTTAGGGTACATGTGCACAATATGCAGGTTTGTTACATATGTATACACACTCCATGTTGGTGTGCTGCACCCATTAACTTGTCATTTAACATTAGGTGTATCTCCTAATGCCATCCCCTACTCCCCCCACCCCACAACAGGCCCGGTGTGTGATGTTCCCCTTCCTGTGTCCATGTGTTCTCATTGTTCAATTCCCACCTGTGAGTGAGAACATGAGGTGTTTGGTTTTTTGTCCTTGTGATAGTTTGCTGAGAATGATGGTTTCCAGCTTCATCCATGTCCCTACAAAGGACATGAACTCATCATTTTTTATGGCTGCATAGTATTCCATGGTATATATGTGCTACCTTTTCTTAATCCAGTCTATCATTGTTAGAGATTTGGGTTGGTTCCAAGTCTTTGTTATTGTGAATAGTGCTGCTATAAACATACGTGTGCATGTGTCTTTATAGCAGCATGATTTATAATCCTTTGGGTATATACCCAGTAATGGGATGGCTGGGTCAAATGGTATTTCTAGTTCTAGATCCCTGAGGAATCACCACACTGACTTCCACAATGGTTGAACTAGTTTACAGTCCCACCAACAGTGTAAAAGTGTTCCTATTTCTTCACATCCTCCCAGCACCTGTTGTTTCCTGACATTTTAATGATCGCCATTCTAACTGGTGTGAGATGGTGTCTCATTGTGGTTTTGATTTGCATTTCTCTGATGGCCAGTGATGATGAGCATTTTTTCATGTGTCTTTTGGCTGCATAAATGTCTTCTTTTGAAAAGTGTCTGTTCATATCCTTCGCCCACTTGTTGATGGGGTTGTTTTTTTCTTGTAAATTTGTTTGAGTTCATTGTAGATTCTGGATATTAGCCCTTTGTCAGATGAGTAGATTGCAAAAATTTTCTCCAATTCTGTAGGTTGCCTGTTCACTCTGATGGTAGTTTCTTTTGCTGTGCAGAAGCTCTTTAGTTTAATTAGATCCCATTTGTCAATTTTGGCTTTTGTTGCCATTGCTTTTTGTGTTTTAGACATGAAGTCCTTGCCCATGCCTATGTCCTGAATGGTATTGCCTAGGTTTTCTTCTAGGGTTTTTATGGTTTTAGATCTAACATGTAAGTCTTTAATCCATCTTGAATTAATTTTTATATAAGGTGTAAGGAAGGGATCCAGGTTCAGCTTTCTACCTATGGCTAGCCAGTTTTCCCAGCACCATTTATTAAATAGGGAATCCTTTCCCCATTGCTTGTTCTTCTCAGGTTTGTCAAAGATCAGATAGTTGTAGATATGTGGCATTATTTCTGAGGGCTCTGTTCTGTTCCATTGGTCTATATCTCTGTTTTGGTACCAGTACCATGCTGTTTTGGTTACTGTAGCCTTATAGTATAGTTTGAAGTCAGGTAGTGTGATGCCTCCAGCTTTGTTCTTTTTGCTTAGGATTGACTTGGCAATGCGGGCTCTTTTTTGGTTCCACATGAACTTTAAAGTAGTTTTTTCCAATTCTGTGAAGAAAGTCATTGGTAGCTTGATGGGGATGGCATTGAATCTATAAATTACCTTGGGCAGTATGGCCATTTTCACGACATTGATTCTTCCTACCCATGAGCATGGAATGTTCTTCCATTTGTTTGTATCCGCTTTTATTTCCTTGAGCAGTGGTTTGTAGTTCTCCTTGAAGAGGTCCTTCACATCCCGTGTAAGTTGGATTCCTAAGTATTTTATTCTCTTTGAAGCAATTGTGAATGGGAGTTCACTCATGATTTGGCTGTCTGTTTGTCTGTCATTGGTGTATAAGAATGCTTGTGATTTTTGTACATTGATTTTGTGTCTTGAGACTTTGCTGAAGTTGCTTATCAGCTTAAGGAGATTTTGGGCTGAGACAATGGGTTTTCTAGATATACAATCATGTCGTCTACAAACAGGGACAATTTGACTTCCTCTTTTCCTAATTGAATACCCTTTATTTCCTTCTCCTGCCTAATTGCCCTGGCCAGAACTTCCAATACTATGTTGAATAGAGTGGTGAGAGAGGGCATCCCTGTCTTGTGCCAGTTTTCAAAGGGAATGCTTCCAGTTTTTGCCCATTCAGTATGATATTGGCTGTGGGTTTGTCATAGACAGCTCTTATTATTTTGAGATACGTCCCATCAATACCTAATTTATTGAGAGTTTTTAGCATGAAGCGTTGTTGAATTTTGTCCAAGGCCTTTTCTGCATCTATTGAGATAATATGTGGTTTTTGTCTTTGGTTCTGTTTATATGCTGGATTACATTTATTTATTTGCGTATGTTGAACCTGCCTTGCATCCCAGGGATGAAGCCAACTTGGCCGTGGTGGATAAGCTTTTTGATGTGCTGCTGTATTCGGTTTGCCAGTATTTTATTGAGTATTTTTACGTCAATGTTCATCAGAGATATTGGTCTAAATTCTCTTTTTTGGTTGTGTCTCTGACAGGCTTTGTTATCAGGATGATGCTGGCCTCATAAAATGAATCAGGGAGGATTCCTTCTTTTTCTGTTGATTGGGATAGTTTCAGAAGGAATGGTACCAGCTCCTCCTTGTACCTCTGGTAGAATTCGGTTGTGAATCCATCTGGTCCTGGACTTTTTTTGGTTGGTAAGCTATTAATTATTGCCTCAATTTCCGAGCCTGTTATTGTTCTATTCAGAGATTCAACTTCTTCCTGGTTTAGTCTTGGGAGGGTGTATGCATCAAGGAATTTATCCATTTCTTCTAGATTTTCTAGTTTATTTGCATAGAGGTGTTTATAGTATTCTCTGATGGTAGTTTGTATTTCTGTGGGATTGGTGGTGATATCCCCTTTACCATTTTTTATTGCATCTGTTTGATTCTTCTCTCTTTTCTTCTTTATTAGTCTTGCTAGCAGTCTATCAATTTTGTTGATCTTTTCAAAAAGCCAGCTCTTGGATTCATTGATTTTTTGAAGGGTTTTTTGTGTCTCTATCTCCTTCAGTTCTGCTCTGATCTTAGTTATTTCTTGCCTTCTGCTAGCTTTTGCATGTGTTTGCTCTTGCTTCTCTAGTTCTTTTAATTGTGATGTTAGAGTGTCAATTTTAGATCTTTCCTGCTTTATCTTGTGGGCATTTAGTGCTATAAATTTCCCTCTACACACTGCTTTGAATGTGTCCCAGAGATTCTGGTATGTTGTGTTTTTGTTCTCGTTGGTTTCAAAGAGCATCTTTATTTCTGCCTTCATTTCATTACGTACCCAGTAGTCATTCAGGAACAGGTTGTTCAGTTTCCATGCAGTTGAGCGGTTTTGAGTGAGTTTCTTAATCCTGAGTTCTAGTTTGATTGCACTGTGGTCTGAGAGACAGTTTGTTATAATTTCTGTTCTTTTGCATTTGCTGAGGAGTGCTTTACTTCCAACTATGTGGTCAATTTTGTGAATAGGTGTAGTGTGGTGCTGAAAAGAATGTATATTTTGTTGATTTGGGGTGGAGAGTTCTGTAGATGTCTATTAGGTCTGCTTGGTGCAGACCTGAGTTCAATTCCTGGATATCGTTGTTAACTTTCTGTCTCATTGATCTGTCTAATGTTGACAGTGGGGTGTTAAAGTCTCCCATTATTATTGTGTGGGAGTCTAAGTCTCTTTGTAGGTCTCTAAGGACTTCTTTATAAATCTGGGTGCTCCTGTATTGGGTGCATATATATTTAGGATAGTTAGCTCTTCTTGTTGAATTGATCCCTTTACCATTATGTAATGGCCTTCTTTGTCTCTTTTGATCTTTGTTGGTTTAAAGTCTGTTTTATCTGAGACTAGGATTGCAACCCCTGCCTTTTTTTGTTTTCCATTTGCTTGGTAGATCTTCCTCCATCCCTTTATTTTGAGCCTAGGTGTGTCTCTGCACCTGAGATCGGTTTCCTGATACAGCACATTGATGGGTCTTGACTCTGTATCCAATTTGCCAGTCTGTGTCTTTTAATTGGAGCACTTAGCCTATTTACATTTAAGGTTAATATTGTTATGTGTGAATTTGATCCTGTCATTATGATGTTAGCTGGTTATTTTGCTCATTAGTTGATGCAGTTTCTTCCTAGCCTCGATGGTCTTTACAATTTGGCATGTTTTTGCAGTGGCTGGTACTGGTTGTTCCTTCCCATGTTTAGTGCTTCCTTCAGGAGCTCTTGTAAGGCAGGCCTGGTGGTGACAAAATCTCTCAGCATTTGCTTGTCTGTAAAGCATTTTATTTCTCCTTCACTTATGAAGCTTAGTTTGGCTGGATATGAAATTCTGGGTTGAAAATTCTTTTCTTTAAGAATGTTGAATATTGGCCCCAACTCTCTTCTGGCTTATAGAGTTTCTGCCAAGAGATCAGCTGTTAATCTGATGGGCTTCCCTTTGTGGGTAACCCGACCTTTCTCTCTGGCTGCCCTTAACATTTTTTCCTTCATTTAAACTTTGGTGAATCTGACAATTATGTGTCTTGGAGTTGCTCTTCTCCAGGAGTATCTTTGTGGCGTTCTCTGTATTTCCTGAATCTGAATATTGGCCTGCCTTGCTAGATTGGGGAAGTTCTCCTGGATAATATCCTGCAGAGTGTTTTCCAACTTGGTTCCATTCTCCCCGTCACTTTCAGGTACACCAATTAGACAAAGATTTGGTCGTTTCACATAGTCCCATTATTTCTTGGGGGCTTTGTTCGTTTCTTTTTATTCTTTTTTCTCTAAACTTCTCTTCTCGCTTCATTTCATTCATTTGATCTTCCATCACTGATACCCTTTCTTCCAGTTGATGGAATCGGCTACTGAGGCTTGTGCATTCATCATGTAGTTCTCGTGCCATGGTTTTCAGCTCCATCAGGTCCTTTAAGGACTTCCCTGCATTGGTTATTCTAGTTAGCCATTCGTCTAATCTTTTTTCAAGGTTTTTAACTTCTTTGCAATGGGTTCGAACTTCCTCCTTTAGCTTGGAGTAGTTTGATCGTCTGAAGCCTTCTTCTCTCAACTCGTCAAAGTCATTCTCTGTCCAGCTTTGTTCTGTTGCTGGTGAGGAGCTGCATTCCTTTGGAGGAAGAGAGGCGCTCTGCTTTTTAGAATTTTCAGTTTTTCTGCTCTGTTTTTTCCCCATCTTTGTGGTTTTATCTACCTTTGGTCCTTGATGATGGTGACGTACAGATGGGGTTTTTGTGTGGATGTCCTTTCTGTTAGTTTTCCTTCTAACAGTCAGGACCCTCAGTTGCAGGTCTGTGGAGTTTGCTGGAGGTCCACTCCAGATCCTGTTTGTCTGGGTATCAGCAGCAGAGGCTGCAGAACAGTGGATATTGGTGAACAGCAAATGTTGCTGCCTGATCGTTCCTCTGAAAGCTTCATCTCAGAGGGGTACCTGGCCATGTGAGCTGTCATTCTGCCCCTACTGGGTGTGCCTCCCAGTTAGGCTACTCAGGGGTCAGGGACCCATTTGAGGAGGCAGTCTGTCCATTCTCAGATCTCAAGCTGCATGGTGGGAGAACCACTACTCTCTTCAAAGCTGTCAGACAAGGACATTTAAGTCTGCAGAGGTTTCTGCTACCTTTTGTTTGGCTATGACCTGACCCCAGAGGTGGAGTCTATAGAGGCAGGCAGGCTTCCTTGAGCTGCAGTGGGCTCCACCCAGTTCAAGCTTCCTGGCTGCTTTGTTTACCTACTCAAGCCTCAGCAATGGTGGGTGCCCCTCCCCCAGCCTCGCTGCCGCCTTGCAGTTTGATCTCAGACTGCTGTGCTAGCAATGAGTGAGGCTCCATGGGTATAGGACCCTCCGAGCCAGGCGCAGGATACAATCTCGTGGTGTGCCATTTGCTAAGACTATTGGAAAAGCGCAGTATTAGGGTGGGAGTGACCCAATTTTCCAGGTGCCGTCTGTCACCCCTTTCCTTGGCAAGGAAAGGGAGCTCCCTGACCCCTTGCACTTCCCGGGTGAGGCAAGGCCTCGCCCTGCTTCAGCTCACACTTGGTGCACTGCACCCACTGTCCTGCACCCACTGTCTGACAGTCCCCAGTGAGATGAACCTGGTACCTCAGTTGGAAATGCAGAAATCATTCGTCTTCTGCATCGCTCACACTGGGAGGTGTAGACTGGAGCTGTTCCTATTCGGCCATTTTGGCTCCACCCCTCGATTTTTTTATTTTTCTGTTTCTTTTTTTTTTTTTTTTTTTTGAGACAGAGTCTCACTCTGCCACCCAGGCTGGAATGCAGTGGCACCATCTCGGCTCACTGCAAGCCCCGCCTCCTGGATTCATGCCATTCTCCTGCCTCAGCCTCCCAAGTAGCTGGGACTACAGGTGCCCACCACCACACCTGGCTTATATTTTGTATTTTTTTGTAAAGACAGGGTTTCACCATGATAGCCAGGATGGTCTCGATCTCCTGACCTCGTGATCCGCCCACCTCAGCCTCCCAAAGTGCTGGGATTACAGGCGTGAGCCACCGGGCCCAGCCTATTTTTCTATTTCTGTGAAGAATGTCATGATATTTTGGTAGGGATTGCATTGAATCTGTAGATTGCTTCGAGGAGTAGGAACATTTTAGCAATATTGATCCTTCCAAACCGTTTTCATTTTTTTGTGTTCTCTTCAATTTATTGCATTAATGTGTTATGGTTTTCATGGTACAAATCTTTCACTTCTTTGGTGAAGTTCATTTACAGGTATTTTATTTTATTTGTATATATTGTAAATGAGATTATTTTCTTGATATCTTTTTCATATTGTTTGCTAATGGCATATGGAAAATGCTACTGATTTTTGTATGTTGATTTTGTGTACTGCAACTTTACTGAATTTGTTTATCAGTTCTAATAGTTTTTTTGGCAGAACCTTTAGGTTTTTCCAAATATAAGCTTATATCATCTGCAAACAAGGATAATTTGACTTCTTCCTTTTCAGTTTGGATGTTCTTTATTTCTTTCTCTTGTCTGATTGCTGTAGCAAGGACTTCCATTACTATGCTGAATAACAGTGGTGACAGTGGGCATCTTTGTTGTGTCCCAGATCTTACAGGAAAGACTTTCAGCTTTTGCCCATTCAGTATGATACTAGCTGTGGATCTACCGTATATGGCCTTTTTGTGTTGTGGTGTGTTCCTTCTATACTCAAGTTTTTGAGGGTTTTTATCATGAAGGGATATTGAATTTGATCAAATGCTTTTTCAGCATCAATTGAAATGATTATATGGTTTTTGTCCTTCATTCTGGACATATGATTTATCAGGTTGATTGATTATATATGTTAACCATCCTTGCATTGCTGGGATAAATCCCACTTGGTCATGATGAATGATGTTTTTAATATGCTGTTGAATTTGGTTTGCTAGTATTTTGTTGAGGATTTTTGAATCAATATTCATAAGGGATATTGGCCTGTAGTTTTTTTTTTTTTTAACCTGTCCTTGTCTGGTTTTGGTGTCAGAGTAATGCTGGCCTCATAGAATGAGTCTGGAAATGTTTTCTCCTCCTCCTCTATTTTTTGGAATAGTTTGAGTAGGACTGGTATTGGTTCTTCTCTAAATTTCTCACAATAATCAGCAGTGAAAACATGGGATCCTGGACTTTGCTTAGAGATCTTTTATTATGGCTTCAATATCATTACTCATTACTGGTCTGTTCAGGTGTTGAATTTCTTCATGGTTCAATCTTTGTAGGTTGTATGTATCTATGAGTTTATCCAGTTCTTCTAGGTTTTCTAATTTATTGGCATACAGTTACTCAAAGTAGCCTCCATTGATCCTTTGAATTTCTGCAGTATCAGTTGTAATGTCTTCTTTTTCATTTCTGATTTTATTTATTGTGTCTTCTCTCTTTTTTTCTTAATTAATCTGGCTAAAGGTTTGCCAATTTTGTTTATCTTTTCAAAAAAACAACTTTTCATTTCACTGATCTTCTGTATTATTTATTGTTTCAATTTCATTTATTTCTGCTCTGATCTTTATTATTTCTTTCCTTCTACTTATTTTGGGTTTTGTTTGCTCTTGCATTTTGAGTTCTTTAGGATGCATCAATAGGTTGTTTATTTGAAGTTTTTGTACTGTTTTGATGTAGCCACTTGCTGCTATAAGCTTGGCTCTTAGTACTGCTTTTGCTGTATCTCATAGGTTTTGGTATGTTGTGTTTCCATTATCATTTGCTTCAAGAAAATTTTAAATTTTCTTAATTTCTTCATTGACTCACTGGTCATTCAGGAGTATAGTGTTTATTTTTCATGTGTTTGAATACTTTCCAAAATTTCTCTTGTTATTGATTTCCAGTTTTATTCCATTGTGGTCAGAGAAGATGCTTGATATTATTTCAATTCTTTGAATGTTTTAAGACTTGTTTTGTAGTCTAAGATATGATCTATTCTTGAGAATGATCCACGTGCTGAGGAAAGGAGTGTATATTCTGCAGCCATTGTATGAAATGTTCTGTAATATCTGTTAGGTCCATTTGCTCTATAGTGCAGATTAAGTCCAATGTTTCTTTGTTGATTTTCTGTCTGGCAGATTTGTCCAATGCTGAAAGTAGGATGTTGTGGTCTCCAGCTCTTACTGTTTGGGGTCTATCTCTCTCTCTTTTGCTCTAATAATATTTGTTTTCTATATCTGGGTGTTCCAGTGTTGGGTGCATATATACTCACAGTTGTTATATCCTCTTGAAGAATCAATCCCTTTATCATTATATAAAGGCTTTCTTTGCCTCTTTTTATAGTTTCTGTCTTGAAGTCTATTTTGTCTGATATAAATACAGCTACCCCTGCTCTTTTTTGGTTTCCATTGGCATGGAAAATCTTTTCCATTCCTTTATTTTCAG
Source organism: Homo sapiens (assembly GCF_000001405.40). Taxonomy (NCBI): domain Eukaryota; kingdom Metazoa; phylum Chordata; class Mammalia; order Primates; family Hominidae; genus Homo; species Homo sapiens. The sequence goes on from NW_025791761.1 coordinate 80,263, forward strand.
TCTATGCCTGGCTTTTGTTTGTTTGTTTGTTTGTTTATTTTTGAGACAGGGTCTCACTCTGCCCAAGCTAGAGTACAGTGTCATGATCTCAGCTCACTGCAGCCTCCACCTCCTGGGTTCAAGCAATCCTCCCACCTCAGCCTCCTGAATAACTGGAACTATAGGCACGCACCACATGCCCAGCTAATTTTTGTATTTTTAGTGGAGATGGGGTTTCACTATGTTGCCCAGGCTGGTCACAAACTTACATCCAACGTTATTGGTAGGTAAGAACTTACTCCTGCCATTTTGTTATTTGTTTTCTGGTTGTTTTGTGGATTTCTCTTCCTTCTTTCCTATCTTCCTTTAAGTGGAGGTAATTTTCTCTGGTTATATGTTTTAACTTCTTGGTTTTTATTTTTTTGTGTGTCTGTTGTATTTTTTTTTATTTGAGGGTACCATGAAGCTTGCAAATAATGTCTTATAACCTATTATTTAAACTGATGACACTGATTGCATAAACAAATTAACAAACAAGTAAAGAGACAACTAATTAAAACTCTACACTTTAACTTCATCCCTCTGCTTTTTAAGTTTTGGTTGTTTCTATTTACATATTATTATTCTATGTCTAGAAAAGTTATTGTAATTATTATATCTGATAGTTCCATTTTTTAGTCTTTCTATTCAAAATATGAGTAGTTTACACCGACAATTACAGTGTTATAATAGTCTGTGTTTTTCTGTGTGCTTACTATTATCAGTGAGTTTTGTGTCTTCAGATGATTTCTTATTGCTCATTAACATCCTTTTCTTTCAGATTAAAGAACTCCCTTTAGCATTTTTTGTAGGATAGGTCTGGTGTTGATGAAATCCCTCAGCTTTTGTTTTTCTGAGAATGTCTTTATTGTTGATTATATAAAGAATAGTATATCTTTCAAACATGATTTTGAAGGATATTTTTGCTGGATATACTATTCTAGGACAAAACTTTTTCATTCAGCACTTTAAATATGTCATGCCACCCTCTCCTGGCCTGTAAAGTTTCCAATGTGAAGTCTGCTGCCAAATGTATTACAGCTTCTTTGTATGGGTTTTGTTTTGTTTTGTTGTTGTTTTTGAGACAGGGTCTCGCTCTATCACCCAGGCTGGAGTGCAGTAGTGCAATCTCGACTCATTGCAACCTCCACCTCCTGGGTTCAAATGATTTTCCTGCCTCCACCTCTCAAGTAGCTGGAATTACAGGCATGTGCCACCATGACTAGCTAATTTTTGTTATTTTTAGTAGATACAGGGTTTCATCATGTTGGCCAGGCTGATCTCAAACTCCTGACCTTGAATGATCTGCCTGCTACAGCCTCCCAAAGTGCTGGGATTACAGGCCTGAGACACCATGCCCAGCCACCTTTGTATGTTATTTGTTTGTTTCTTTTCTATTGCTAATTTCAGGATCCTTTCTTTATCCTTGACCTTTGGGAGTTTCATTATTAAATGTCTTGAGGTAGCCTTATTTGGGTTAAATCTGCTTGATGTTCTATAACTTTCTTGTACTTGAATATTGATATCTTTCTCTAAGTTTGGGAAGATCTCTGTTACGGTCCCTTTGAATAAGCTTTCTACCCTGTTCTCTCTCTCTCTCTCTCTCTCTTTCTCTCACTGCCTCCTCTTTAAGGCCAAATAACTCTTAGGTTTGCCCTTTTGAGGCTATTTTGTCTATCTTGTAGGTGTGCTTCATTCTTTTTTTTATTCCTTTTTCTCCTCTGACTCTGTATTTTCCAACAGCCTGTCTTCAAGTTCACTAATTCTTTCTTCTGCATGATCAGTTCTGCTGTTAAGAGATTCTGATGCATTCTTTAAAATGTCAGTCATATTTTTCAGCTCCAGAATTTCTGCCCAATTCTTTTAAATTATTTAGATCTCTTTGTAAAATTTATCTGATAGGATTCTGAATTTCTTCTGTGTTATCTTGAATTTTGTTGAGCTTCCTCAAAATAGCTATTTTGAATTCTCTGTCTGAAAGGTTACAAATTTCTGTTTCTCTGGGATTGGTCACTGGTGCCTTATTTAGTTTGCTTGGTGAGGTCATGTTTTCCTGTATGGTCTTGATGCTTGTATATGTTTGTCAGTGTCTGAGCATTAAAAAGTTAGGTATTTGTTGTAGTCTTTGCTGTCTGGGCTTGTTTGTACCTGTCCTTCTTGGGAAGACTTTCCAAGTATTCAAAGGGTCCTGTGTATTGTGATCTAACTCTTTGGTCACTGTAGCCATATCTCCATTAGGGAGCACCCCAAGCCTAGTAATATTGTGGCTCTTGCAGACCCATAGAGGTACTACCTTGGTGGTCATGGATAAGATCCAGAAGAATTCTTTAAAATCCCATGTAGAGACTCTTGTTCTCTTCTCTTACTTTCCCCCAAACAGAGTCTCTCTCTGTGTCCTGAGCTGTCTGGAGCCAGGGCAGGGATGACATAAGCACCCCTGGGGCCACCACCACTGGGACTGTGCTGAGTCAGACCTGAAGCCAGCACAGCCCTGAGTCTCACCCAAGGTCCTCAGAGACTACTGCCTGACTACCACTGCTGATTATTCAGGCTCTTTAGTCAGCATGTAATGAATCTTGCCAGGATGGGGTCCTTCCCTTAAAGGCAGGAGGTTCCCTACTAGCCCATGGTATGTAGAAATGTTGTCTGGAAACTAGGGCCTGGAATAGGGACCTCAGGACTCTTTCTGATGCCCTGTCCTACTGTGGCTGAGCTGGTATCCATGTTGCAAGACAAAGTCCTCTTTACTCTCCCCCTCCTCCCCTCAAGAAGAACAAAAGAGTGTCTCCTGGAGCTGAGAGCTTTCCTATCTGGGGTTGGTGGAGGGGTGGCACAAGCATTCCCTTGGCTGCCCCAGCTGGTGTCTCACCAGGTCACATGCATCCCAAGTCCACTGGCTCTGAACCCAGGACTTGCCCAGGAATTGCAGTCCTCATGCCTAGACTGCCTTTCAAGTTTATTTAGAACCCCAGAGCTCTTTGGCCCACAGTGGTGAGGCTTGCTGTAATCCCAGCACGTTGGGATGCCAAGGTGTGCAGATTACCTGTCAGGAGTTCGAGACTAGCTTGGCCAACATAGTAAAACCCAGACTGTACTAAAAATACAAAATTAGCCAGGCGTGGTGGTGCACACCTGTATCACAGCTACTCAGGAGGCTGAGGCAGGAAAATCGCTTGAACTCAGGAGGCGGAGGTTGCAGTGAGCCTAGAGAGTGCCATTTTGCAGCAACAAGGATTGCTAGCCAAGATCAAAGCTAACATGATCAAGTCCACACTGAAAGTGGGAAGGAAGCTGTGTTTTTTTATCTCATCGTAGAATATCCCTGCTTCCTTGGTGTCATTATGTAACTACTCTGCCCCTGAGTATCTTGTTACATGAGATAGTAATTGCCCTTAGTGTTTAAAACAGTGGACTTGTGGTTTTCTGTTACTTGTGGCCCAGAGAATCCTAATTGATACTCAAGGAGAGAGAGAATTTGATTGCCTCAGCTTGGGTTAATTAATTAATTAATTAATTTAACCCAATCTTGGGTTCATCATCAGTGGAAGGGAGACAGGGTCATATGTTGCAGACAAAGTCCCTTGGGGCCTACTTTTACACATTGGGAATATTCTTAGAAAAGAAGGAATTTGGAGGAGTCAAGCAACTTCCTAAGAAGTGACTACTTAGGAAGTGTAGAAATTCATTGTAGAAATTCAACCATGAGAACCTGAAAAATAAATAATAAAGGAAGAGGGAGACAGCCTTAAAATTCCTCAGACACAACCAATGTATAGCACTGTTAATACTTTGTGCACATCCCACCATAATTCTTTACTATATACAATATTGACATAGGTAAAGTTATTTAGCAAGATTGAAGAAACCTTCCGGATCACTGAGCCAGACACATATGTCTGGGAACTCATGTAGTAACACACTATGGCACATGGCTTTGTCTTTGGGTACTCTCAACAAGTCCTTTGGGTGGTCTCCTCCCAGGCTTTCTTTGCCATTACCTACCTCCCTGATGCTAAGACCTTGCTTGCATTCTGGCATCACATAGACCACTCCTCCTGGACCTTACTCTGCACTTCAAAATTGATTCCTTTCTTTTCCATGACCCCAGCTACATTTCTATTCCCTCTCTGCCCTGCTCATCTCTGGGTTTCAAGAAGGAAAGAATATAACCAACTCATTCTCACCAAAATGTCAATAGTATATTTTCTCTTAACATGTTAATCCTTCAACAGATGTCACTTAGAAAGAGGTTTGCTGGGCCGGGTGCGGTGGCTCATGCCTGTAATCCCAGCACTTTGGGAGGCTGAAGAGGGCGGATCATCTGAGGTTAGGAGTTTGAGACCAGCCTGACCAATGCGGAGAAACCCCATCTCTACTAAAAATACAAAATTAGCTGGGCGTGGTGGCGCATGCCTGTAATCCCAGCTACTCAGGAGGCTGAGGCAGGACAATCGCTTGAAACTGGGAGGCAGAGGTTGTGGTGAGCCGAGATCGCGCCATTGCACTCCAACCTGGGCAACAAGAGTGAAACTCCATTTCAAAAAAAAAAAAAAAAAAAAGGTTTGCCAGATGAGGCAAAGCCTCATAAACTGACAAACTAAATATCTAATGGGTTTTGTCTGCCAAGAGACCTGAGGCAGAACAGATCAGAGAGAGCGGTAGGGTGCGGTGGCAAGGAGTCAGCTGGTATCCACCTGAGGGTTTCCATTTGTGCTGGCTTTTCCTTGACAACAGGGTCTGCAGATTGAAAAGTTGCCCTGCATCCTTTTCACTTAAGCTTGATGGCACTTTAAGTTATCTCCTAAAATTTTATATCAGGCTCAGCTTCTAGGCTACATTCAGCAGGTCAGCCCATAGAACTTTCTGCCTTCAAAGAAAAAGCACTTCTAGAAAGAAACATTTGCCATTTTCCTTGGCAGAGGGAAGACAAGTCATGAAGACCTTCCCTAACAGAATTTCAGACACCTAATGGGGACTGTGGACATACTTTTAGCTAAGATTTGGGACCATCTCCAAAATCCCCAAATCCTACCACATATCAGCCTCCTATAAGGGAATCATGTAATCCCACCTTAGGTAATATTAGATTTTTAAAGTTTCCTATCACTAGTTTATAACAAAACTTCATGAATGGAAACACACACAAAGTTAATGGAGTTGACTTGATGATGGTCTGTTCTCCCTTTTCTTTACTTCTCCCTTTTCTTCTTTTTTCAGGCTAGGACTGATCTTGGACAAAACTATTCCTTCCCTTTTCTAGGGCCAGATTTCTAGGCACCCAAATTTCTGTTTTCTCATCCTCCCTGTATCTTCTCCAGCCTAGGATTACTGTGTCCAACCTCCTGGGCTTCCTTCTTTCCCTGCCACACCACTCCTCCAGTTTAGCTGGCTCTAACTTTCATCATCTCCAGATCTAAGGCTTCAACTAACTAATATGGTTAACTAATCAGTGTTACAGTGTGATGGTGGAAGACTATGGGTTCTCCCAGGTAACCAGTGTTCTGAATCTAGAGACATTTAGAGGCAAGATACCAGGCAAGTGTTTACTCTCTGCATTAGAGAATATAGACTGGTGATGTTACTAAGTGCATTATTTTTTAGCAGAGAGGTTAAGCAGGTGGTAACCGGATTTTAAAAACACCAAAATGTATTCCTAAATTAGCTCTGTCCAGACATCTCTTCTTTCTCTTCTCTGTCTCTCTGACCATCATTCTACTTCCTCTTTTCTAACTTCCTCTTTCTCCTGGCATTTTGTTCCTTTTTTCTCAGGTTATTAAGATTTAACATCAATACTTCCCAGATTTAGATTAATCTGATAAATACAATCAAAAGCCTCAGTTGCCCCATTTATAAAATCAGAATTATTTTAGTTCTAAGAGTATAGCTAAGATAGTGTTAGTTTCCTCCATCTGAAATATTTTATAAACTACATATACTATAACATGTATGTATTAGTGAATTAAATTTAAAAAATAAAATGGACTCCATGTACCCATGTTTGCCCCTTATTTGCCTCTCCCTAGTCCCAACCTTACTCTCGGATAACCATTATCCGGAAATTGCTTATGATTCTCTTGTTTTTATGTTGTTTTTACCATATATCATTATAACCCTAAACAATAAATGGTTCATTTGTGCATGTTTTTAGACTTTATATGATATACTTTGGTTTTAGACTTTATATAATATACTTTGTGAATACTTTGGCAACTGGCTTTTCCTCTCAATATTATGTTTATAAGATTCAGCTCTTGGCCAGGCACATAATCCTAGCATTTTGGGAGGCCTAGGCATGAGGATCACTTGAGGCCAAAAGTTCGAGAACATCCTGGGCAATATAATGAGACCCTATCTCTACAAAAAAATAATTTTTAAATATTAGCCAGGCATAGCGGTTCATGCCTGTAGTTCTAGCTACTCTGGAGGCTGAGGTGGGAGGATTGCTTGAGCCTGGGAGGTCAAAGCTGCAGTAAGCCATGATTGCACCACTGCACTGCAGCCTGGGCAACAGAGCAAGCCTCTATTTCAAACCCCAGTCAAAATGGCTTATATCAAAAAGACAGGCAATAACCAATGCTGTCAAGGATGTGGAGAAAAGAAAACTCTTGTACACTGTTGCTGGGAATGTAAATTAGTACAACTATTATGGAGAACACTTTGGGGGTTCCTCAAAAAACTAAAAATTGAACTACCATATGATCCAGCAGTCCCATTGCTGGGTATATACCCAAAAGAAAGGAAATCAGTATATCACACAGACATCTGCACTCCAATGTTTGTTGCAGCACTGTTTACAATAGCTAAGATTTGGAATCAACCTAAGTGTCCATCAACAGATGAATGGATAAAGAAAATGTGGTACATATACACAAGGGAGTAGTAGTCAGTCATAAAAAACAATGAGATCCTGTCATTTGCAACAATATGGATGGAATTGGAGATCATTATGTTGAGTGGAATAAGCCAGGCACAGAAAGACAAACTTCACATGTTCTTACTTACTTGTGGGATCTAAAAATCACAACAATTGAACTCATGGACATAGATAGTAGAAGAATGGCTACAAAAATAATTAGAAAGAATTAATAAGTCTGGGCACAGTGGCTCATGCCTGTAATCCCAGCACTTTGGGAGGCTGAGGCAGACAGATCACTTGAGGTCAGGAGTTTGAGACCAGCCTGGCCAGCGTGGTGGAATCGCATCTCTACTAAAAATATAAAAATTAGCCAGGCATGGTGGTGGATGCCTGTAGTCCCAGCTACTCAGGTGGCTGAGGCAGGAGAATTGCTTGAACCCGGGAAGTAGAGATTGCAGCGAGCTGAGATTGTGTCCCTGCACTCCAACCTGGGTGACAGAGCAAGACAGGAAAGAGAGAAAGAGAGAGAGAGAAGGGGAGAGAGAGAGAGAGAGAGAGAAAGAAGGAGGGAGGGAAGGAAGGAAGGAAAGGAAGGAAGGAAAGGAGGAAGGAAGGAAGGAAGGGAGGGAGGGAGGGAGGAAGGAAAAATAAATAAATAAAAAAGAATAAGACCTGCTATTTGATAACACATTAACTTAATAGCAGATTTTAAAATAACTGTAAAGGGTATAATTGGATTGTTTGTCCTTAATGCTTGAGGAGATGGACACCACATTCTCCATAATGTGCTTATTTCACATTGCATGCCTGTATCAAAACATCTCATGTACCCTATAAATATATACACCTACTATGTGCCCACAATAATTAAAAATTAAAGAAAGAAAGACTCCATTTCAAAAACAAATCATCTCTATCTTAGTAGCTGTAGTTCGTTTATACTGTTCCATGGGAATCTACAGCTTAAACACCATTTCGTATCCATCCTTTTGTTGGGGGACATTTGAGTTGGAAACTCAATACATTCATTATATATGTTATGAATATATATGTTTTTGTGAACATATAAATGGATTTCTATTGGTTATACATACAGGGAGTAGAATCACAGAGTATGCCTGTATTTACCTTTATTACATAATGGCAAACTGTTTTCCAAAGTAGGTATATCCATTTATATTCCCATCAGTGGTATATGAAAATTCCAGTTGCTTCACTGTCTTGCTAGTATTTGATATTTTCCAACTTTTAAGTATGTGCCAATATGGTGGATGTAAATGGTATCCCCTCATTATCTTAATTTGTATTTCCCTGATTACTAATAAGGTTAAGCATCTTTTCATGTTTATTGGTCATTCCTGTTTCTTGTCTGTGAAATGTTTGTTCATGCTTTCTGCTCATTTTTCTATCACGTTTTTTCTTTTTATATTGATTTGTAAAATTTTCATAAATTCTAGATGCCAGTGATTTGTTGGTTATGTGTGTTGCAAATATCTTCTTCCAGATTATGACTTGTCTTTTCATTTTCTTGATGGTAGTCTTTTGATGATCAGGAGTTCTTAATTTTAATGAAGTAAAATTCATCACACTTCCTCAGTTAGAACTTTGTGTATCTTATTTAAGAAACCTAAGGTCATAAAAATATTTTCTCATAACTTATTCTAAAAATTTAGCTTTTCACGTTTGTATCTTTAATTTAAACTGGAATTGAAATTTGGTGTATAGTAAAAAAGAATGAGATCATGTCTTTTGCAGGAACATGGATGGAGCTGGAGGCCATTATCCTTAGCAAACTAATGCAGGAACAGAAAACCAAATACCGCATGTTTCCATTTATAAGTGGGAGCTAAATGATGAGAACTCATGAGCACAAAGAAGGCAACAATAGACACGGGGGCCTACTTGAGGGTGGAGGGTGGGAGAAGGGAGAGGAGCAGAAAAAAATAACTATTGGTTACTGGGCTTAATTCCTGGGTGATGGAATAATCTGTACAATAAACCCCCATGACACGAGTTTCCCCATAAAACAAACCTTCACATGTGCCCCCAAACCTAAAATAAAAGTTTAAAAAAAAGAAATTTGGGGTATGGTGTGAGGTAGGAGTCCAATTCCACTTTTTTTTTCCTATATGGATATCCAATTTTCCAGTACTATTTCTTGTTTAGACCCTTCTTTCCTAAATGATCTGTAATACCAGATGTGTGACAGAGCAAGTTTTCACATATGTGTGAGTCTGTTTCTGGGCTCTCCATTCTGTCTGCCTCTATGTCAGTATCATAATGGCTTAATTACTGTGGCTTTCTATTAAGTTTTGATATCTGGGTAGAGCAAGTCTCCTATTCTTCAAGAGTGTCTTGGCTATTCTTGACCTTTGCTGTTGTATATGTAATTTTAGAGTCAGCTTGCCAGTTCTGTGACAAGCTCTGTTGAGATTTTAATTGAAGTTACATGGACTCTTTAGATCAATTTGGAGAATATTCACACTCTTATCATACTGATTCTCTCTTCCTATGAATATCATACTTCTTTTATTTAGGTCTTCTTTAATATCTTTCTATTGAGTTTTATAATTTTGTCTATAATGATCTTAAATTCATATTGTTAGGTTAATTCTTAGGTACAATATGTTTTTTGTTCTTCTTAAGTTACTTTTTTTTTTTTTTTGCCTTGTCGTCCAGGCTGGAGTGCAATGGTGCGATCTTGGATCACTGCAACCTCTGCCTCCCGGGTTGGAGTGATTCTCCTGCCTCAGCCTCCCTAGTAGCTGGGATTACAGATGCATGCCACCACACCCAGCTAATTTTTGTATTTTAGCAGAGACGGGGTTTCACCATGTTGGCCAGGCTGGTCTCTATATCCTAACCTCGTGATCCGCCTGTCTCAGCCTCCCAAAGTCCTGGGATTATAGGCATAAGCCACCATGCCCGGCCCTAAATTATATTTTTAATCTCTTTGCTACTGGTATTTAGAAATAAAATTTAGTATTTATATACATCTTATATAAAACAACCTTGATAAACTCTTATTAATTCTGATAATTTGACTGTAACTTACTACTTTTCCTAATCTTATTGCACAACCTAGATCCTCCAGTAAAATGTTGAACAGAAATGACACCATTTATTTGTCCTTAGTTTGCAGAAAATGCTATTATTCCAATATTGAATATATTGTTTGCTATGTATTAAGGAAGTTTCCTCCTAGTCTTAGTTTGCTAAGAGGCTTATTTGTTTAAATTATAAACAAATGTGCTGAATTTTATAGAATATTTTTCCCATCTTTCAATATGATATAATTTTTCCTTTACTTTGTTAATCCAATTTTTGTAAACATTTTATAAATTTGAATAGTCTGACCTATGAACATAATGTATTTCTCCATCTATTTAAGTCATTTTTAAAATTTGTGACAATTTATGGGGTACATAAGAAATTTTTTATATGTATATAATGCGTAGTGATCAAGTCGGAATATTAGGATGTCCATCACCTGAGTACAATACTTTTTTGTAAGTATAGTCATCCTACTCTGCTATCAAACATTGCATGCATTTATGCCTTCTATTTTACTGTATTTTTGTACCCTTTCTCTTCATCCTCCTCACCTACCCCACTCACTCTTCCTAGTCTGTTATCTATTTATCCACTCTCTGCCTCCATGTGTTCAAATATTTTAGCTTCTACATAAAAGTCAGAACATGTGACGCTTGTCTTAAAGAGAATTATTTTAGCATTTTACATTTAATGTTGATATGATTGGTAGGTATCTTTTATAAGGTTAAAAAGTTCCTATCTGTTCCTGATTTGCTAAGGATTGTTTGAAATCATGAAACCTTGATGGATACCAAACCCTTTTTCTACATTGATCAAAATAGTCACATGCATTTTCTCCTTTATTTTGTTAATGTAATAACCATAAAAAGATTTTCTGATGTTAAACTAACTGACTTCCTGAAATAAAACTAACCTCATCATGGCTTATTATCTTTTTTATACATTGCTGGATTCAGGCTGCCAAATTTTTGTTTGTTTGTTTGTTTGGATGGGGTCTCACTCTGTTGCCCAGGCTGTAGTGCAGTGGCATCATTATAGCTCACTCCAGCCTCGAACTCCTGGGCTCAAGAGATCCTTCCGCCTCGGTCTCCCACTACAGGCTGCACCACTACACCCGGGTTGGGTTGCCTATACTTTTTCTGTGATTTGTACACCTATATTCATGAGAAAAACTGCCCTGTAAATTTTCCTTCTTATACTGCCCTTGCTTGCTTTTGGTATTAAGGCTATACTAGCTTCAAAAATGAGTTAAGTCATGCTCTTAATCTGTTTATTCTCTAGAAGAGTTTAAGACTGAAAATCTCTGCTACTTGAATGTTTGTCTGTCTGTGGTTTTCATTCGATTCCACTCCTCCCCTCTCCCCAGTCTTCCTTTCTCCCATCTCTTCCTCTCCCTGTCATTCTCTCTTTGTTCCTTCCTGCTATATTCACTTTCTTTTTCCTTTCCTATACCATCAGTAAGACCACCTTTGATTTAAAAGCATTACAAAATTGGCCTGAAGCCCAGGTATCAGGATTTTTATTTTAATCAATGTTTTTAACATTCCCAGATATAACATTTTTGTGTGTGTTTGATGTAACCAGTTAGTACTGCCTAGATGTGAAAAAAAGAATCTTGCAGTCATTTGAAATAATACTGATTGCTAAATAAGAATTTCAATTATCTGTTCGTAATTACCTATTTTGAAATATTTTTGAAACGAATTCAGTCCCATTCACGGCGTGGTACTTCCAGATTTCTCTGCCTTGTGACACTCAACAATGAAGGGAAACAATTTGAGGATGTAAAGAATACATCAAAATTTCACGGGAACGAGAGCCTTTTCACAAATAAGCTATGCTGATTTTCCACCTTCAATTCTGTCCTTTATGTTTCATAGATATCCTCCCTCTCCTTTCAAATAGCACAAATGTAATTTTCTTGATGGGGCATTATTTCTGGATGGTAAAGATTACTTTAATTCTCTGTAAGAAAAACCTGGGATGTTCCCATCTTTACTTAGTTGAAATGTAAATATTTTAAAACCTTCCATATCATTATGATTTCTTTTCTCCCAGTGACTTAGTGGCTAAATACCAAATGCTCCTTACAAAATGCAAATCACTTATTCAAAATACAATTAAATTATAGCATACATAGTTTATAAGCAATTACAGTCACATAATGTGTGTAATTTGGATTACTCTGGGTAAAAATCTATAAATGTATGGCTGCTACCTTCAAACCAAGAAATAGTTCTTTTTGGAAATATGATATACTACAGCAAAAATACCATTTTTAGGTAAGATGTAAAGTAAGTAGGGTAGGTCTTTCTCAAAGAATACCAATTAAGCCTTCCTCTTCAGGAATTCTGTGGGGGTCCTGTCAGTTAATTAGGTCATTTTACAATGAGAACAGATACCAACCTCGGAGTCTGGATTAATTCTATGGGTACGAATAATGATTGTTAAGATTACTAGTGTCCATTTTTTTATCACTTCTTTTGAGCAGTACCCCTCACACACACACACAAAAAAACTTAATCGAATTGAAATATTCCAAAAGAAAGATTTCTGAGTTTTCATAGCTTTAACCAGAAATCCCATTAAACTGAATCTTTCGTGGACACTGTGATAAGTTACCCAGATGCCCGTCAGGAAGAAGGACTTTGTGTTAGTTTCCTAGGGCTGCCACAAAAATTACCACAAACTGAATGGCCTGAAACAACATGGGCTTATTTTTTCATAGCCATGAAGGCCAAAAGTGTGAAATCAATGTGTAGGCAGGGCCGTGCTTTCTCTGAAGGCTTTAGAGGAGAATCCTCTATGTTTCTTCTAGCTTCTCATGGCTCCAGGCATTTCTTGGCTTGTGGCTGCATGACTCCAGTCTCTGCCTCTGTCTTCACATGGCCTTTTCCTCTGTGTCTCTGGGTAGTCTCCTCTTCTATCTCTTATAGGGACACTTGTCATTGGATTTAGGGAACCCCCAGGTAATCCAGGATGATCTCTTCTCGGGGTCCTTATTTACATCTACAAAGATCCTTTTTCCAAATGAGGTCACATTCACAGGTTTTGGGGGTTACAATGGGGACATATCTTTTGGGGGGCCACCATTCAATCCATTGCAGACTTATTCCCTGGACTCCTGGGAGAGCTGCCAGAAGGAAGTCTTAGCTGTTAGCCTTCTTTGGGGATTGCCTCAGCTGAAAGAAGCTGCTTTGTCCATGGCAGGGTTCCTTCTATGGGGAGCTCATAGCTAACACTGATCAAAATGGGTACAAAGGCCAGCTTGGAGCTATACCAACTTGGAGCTATACCAGCTTGGAGCTATACTTCAGAACTACTCCAGTTCCAGAACTCTCACTATGGTGAGCTGAGGCCTTCATTAGGACTGCACCAGGCTCAACTTCTCCTTGGCCTTCATCCTCCCCTTCCTCCTCTCCCTGGTCCTCCTGGTCAGTGCCTTCTGACTCAGCTTTGCAGGGAACCCAGCCCGAAACACTTAGATGAAAATAATTCATTCATTCACTCACTCCTTTATTCATTCACTCATTCATTTTATTTCATTCAATAAACATTTATTGAGCACCTACTGTGTGCCATGTGCTTTCTTTCACAAGTATGGCACAGTGATCATATTTGAATCTTTTGTAAATCAGGATCTTCTCGTGCCTCAAACTAACCATCCTGAGCCTCATTTGTTAGTTGTAGATCTTAAAGGTTTAAGAGAGGAACTCACAATTTATCCTAGAAGTTATCTTTTGTTTTGATAAATCCCAACCTAACATAAGCTTTTTTCTGCAGTGATGTGCAGTTTGCCCCCAATAAAGGTACCTAAAAAATACATCACTTGAGTAGTCTGATCTATCAGGACTTGCCTAGGTTCTGGATTTTCTGTGTTATTTAAGGTCTGTATTTTAACCTTATTAAAATGGATAAGTGGAGAAGAAATAATGACAGACTTTCAGTGTTAGAAGTACGCACCACAGGATTTCAGAAGGTTAAAGCACTGCCAGAACCAAGGAATTATCCAGCCAGCCCAAATTCCCTGTACTACAAATGGGAAAACTGGGAGTTCATCCCATAGCTGCCTTCATCAGGTAGAGTATGGGACTTTTATCTGATTGTTGTATATATGGGGCTGGGGGTGTTTCTCCATTTCAGTTGTAAACTCCTTTTGGGCAAGATCTGAATCTCATATTTTTCTGCCCTGCTCAGTGTGTAGAAAAATAAGAAGTAAGATTTTGAATAAATAATTGATTGATTGGGCCCTCTTCATCTAGCAAAACTGCTTCGATCATGTCGGTAGTTAAGGGTCTTAATTTTTTATATGCAGACCTCCAGAGGAAATCTAATAATGTCCCTCATCACTTGAATCCTAGGCTTAACAATAATCATTGTCAAGGAGTTCCTCCTAAAAAATAACCCAGCTTTACAGAATAGCCCCAAAATGTCATAAATATGCACATAATTTGTACTAGCCCTTTTCTTTGTAAGTAGTTCGCAGATAATAAAGCATGTTGGAAATAAAATCAGTACTTTTTAAAATTTGAAATGTTTAAATAGCTACTTAACCATTATTTTTACTCCACCTCATTCCATAAAGGATCCAAGGTCACTTACAATTAGACACACATTTCAATATTTTAAAAAATAAACATGATGTGAGAAAACTGAAGTAGAAAATAAGATAAAGTACAGGGTAATGTTAATATCCAAAGTTCATAAATTGCTAGTAGGAGGCCTGAAACTTGGCTCTGAGCATTCCAATTAATTAATAATAACTGCTTTTCTAGAAGGCAATAGAGTGGTCCAAGTTCCTAGTCATCAGAGTCTACTTCATCCGAGATAATAAATCTAAGTCAATCACAATAATCTTACCTCTTGTTAGTAAGTGTTTTAAGAATCTGTACATGACTGAATTCTGATAAAACAGACACAGGAGAAAGTCTGTGGGGGAGGAGAGATTTCCAGGAAGTCTCCTCATTTTTTTTTGTCTCCTAATTCTTAAATGAAAGACAAGAAAGGTTTGGTTCCTTTCTTTCTCTGGATGGTCTTGTGTTTGGATATCATGCTTGGAACTGACGAGTGTCTTGCTATCAGCCTGAGAATGAAGCCAAGACATAGAGGAAGGAAGAGCCAATAGAATCCCTGCCAAGAGAAATTGATGCCCTGACAAGGTGCCCTGGAGCCACATGACCTCCGCATCTCTGGTTTTGCAAGTTATGACATTTTCTTTAAGACAATTTGAGTTGAGATTTTCTGTTACTTGCAGCCAAATGCATCCAAAATGATATAAAAGTAGCATTTAAGAACAAGGGTTTGAAATAGACCTGGTTCTGCCATCTAACTTGTACTATGTAAACTTGAGAAAGAATTGAAATCTTTAAACATGAGTCCTTTCGTCCATAAATCAGGGTAGATAATGGCTACTATACAGGGTGGATATAAACATGTAATGGAGAAAAAAGCATGTAAAGTGTTTAGAGAACCTGATGCATAGCAAGTGCTTGATAAAGAGACGATTTTAACACCGAGGAGAAAGACAGATAATCAATACACAATTGTCTGGCTCTTTGAAATGGCAATGGAGCGTTCTGAGGCTGTAATTCCGGCTCTTAACCTGTCTTTAGTGATCATGGAAGACAACTGATCACTTCTTGCTGTAAAATAAGCCATTACACTGGGCGCGGTGGCTCATGCCTGTAATTCCAGCACTTTGGGAGGCCGAGGAAGGCGGATCACCTGAGGTCAGGAGTTCAAGACCAGCCTGGCCAATACAGTGAAACCCTGTCTTTACTAAAAATACAAAAATTAGCCGGGCGTGGTGGTGAGTGCCTGTAGTCCCAGCTACTCAGGAGGCTGAGGCAGGAGAATTGCTTGGCGGGAGGCAGAGGTTGCAGTGAGCCAAGATCAGGCTACTGCACTACAGCCTGGGTGACAAAGCGAGACACCATCTCAAAAAAAAAAAAAAAAGAATAATATACTGTATTTAATTCTACTTAGAATAATATACTGTATAACATTTCTGGCACTACGGAACAATTTATTCCTGTTGTATTTGTAATTTTTAAAAAAATATGCAAATCAAAAATACAGAAGCAAAATGAAAATAAAAATCACATATAATCCACCCCTCAGAGATAAACACTCAGTATTTTGGTGACTGCTTTTCCTGAACACACACACACACACACACACACACACACACGTATATTCATGTATGTAGGATCATTTTCTATGAACACTTATGTAAACTGGGGTTGTTTTTTTTTACATAGCATAACATTGCAAGTAGATTTCCATATCAACAAATACATTTCTGCAATTATATTTTTGCAACATCATTTATAATCTCTACATAGTACTCTATTATATAGAATCTGTATGTTCTATATTATAAGTAATATGCACAACCAAATCATTAGTGTGAGATCCTGAGGCTTTTCTAAGTTTTTGTTGTTATAATTAAAAGTACTATGATAATTGTAGCTAAATTCCTTTTAAACCTTCTTATTAAACTCTTAAATTCCTTAGTGTAATTTCTGAAACGTGGACTTGCTGGTTAAAAGCATTTGTACAAAAGGCATACAGAGTGGTATAATGGACACTGGAGACTCAGAAGGGAGGTGCATGGGAGGTGGGTGAGGGATAAAAAAACTACATATTAGATACAATGTACACTACTCAGGTGATGGTACACTAAAATCTCAGCCTTCACCATTATACAATTCATTCATGTAACCAAAAATTACTTGTACCCCCAAAGCTACTGAAATAAAAAATATATATATAATTTAAAAAATAAATAAATACTTAAAAAACAAAGTATTTGTACAATGTTGTTTTAAATATATATTGCAAATTTCAATAGGTACATTTAAATATTTTTATAAATAATGTTTCTACTTACAGAAAATTATATTAGCCTTTTAAATAATTCTACCAAAATGTTCAGTTTATTTCTCTATACCTAACAGTATCATAACAAGGTTATTACATTATGATGGTAATGAACTTACTATTCTGAAATTGTAATAGGTTTTATTTTTTCTCAAAGTTAAAATTCTTCCATTATTTACTAGCTTCACACTTTCTTGAATTTCTTCCACACTTGGAATACCAATAATTGGGTTTTACAGCCCAATCTTTTGGTCTCTTAATATAGGCAAATCTCTTTTGTGGTTCTATTCATCTTTTGATTAACTTGATCATATTGCATAGAACAGTAAGCTGCCACTATTTAAGTGAATTCAATGAAGGCAATGGTAGGCCTTTTTGATTTGCAAATTTACTTGAAAAGCCATGTCCCTATAGCAGTTAAATGCTCAGTCTTTTGATATTAGCACAGCATGAAAAGCAACAGTTTTTATATTTTGGTGGCATACATTTACTTTTAAAACATGCATACATATATATATGCATTTCCTACCATGTATGCTTTATTGCTTATAGACATGAAATAAATAGTTTAACTACCAAGCCAAATATTTTAAAATGTTTTGTTATTGCTTCTTATCTGTATAAAAGACCGTAGTTGCTTCCTTTTCTGCTATCTCAACCTTAGCAAGCAAGAGTACAATTTAGCACTTTTCCTTGATGATTAACTGTCCAAAGGCCAAGAAAATGTTGATGGTTAGGCAAGGGAGAGAGTATTTCTACTTTATATTTTAGCTTATGTTCACAGCATAAACTACTTCATTCACACGAAACTGAGAAAAAGCTAGAAAAATCTTACCATTTTAGGGACAACTGTTATGACATGCATGAGTCTCCCTAAGTAAATCTAACATAAATAAATAAGATACATTAAAAGATAATATACTAATTCAATCTACTTGATGCATTGTGAACATAAGATTTGGCCGGTCATTTTTATAGGAAAATCTGATATTTAGAAATATAACAGATTGCACACTGGTATTATGTCTCTAATCATCTAAATGAAACAATGAGCTAATTATCTATAATGACTCACTACTATACTTTCAACACCTTTAGGGATCAATTTCACCCAAAAGTGAACTAAGCCAGTACCACATGGTCTGCTCTCAAGCAGTGACCTCTCTGATTCAAATGCAAAATGCTATTGCAGATGAAATTCACTGGTACAAAATGTTCAATAGAAAGATTACATTTCCAGTGGGGCAGAAAGATATTTGCCAGCATCTCATTAAGGCTTCGATACAAAGTCTTGGATTTCAATCAGCATCGAGATAGAATGACAATAATCCAGTAGCAAGAATGTAGCTAGGGCTTTGTTTCTGTAAGCATTATGCATTTTTCCCATCTACAATAAAATCTTGAAAAAATTCCAAGAGAATAGATATGGAAAGAAATAACCTTGTAGTCATTTTAATGTCAGCCACAGAATGCGTTCTGTGAAGCCTCTGCGGCCTGATAACTTTGCCTCTCACTCAGGGAGGAGAAGGTGACATCATTTACATTTAGCCCAACACGTGAAAAAGGCTGAAATTCTCTGCACCATAAATGTGGCATCAATTCTTCCGCCTCTCCAGCCCCACCTCCCATCATTAATATAGTCCAGCCATTTTATCATCAGCATTTTATCTTTTTCCCCTAGAAGTAATTTACTGACTTAATGGAAATGTGAGAGATTTGCTTTAACAGATTTTACGAATTTAAGCAAAAGGTCCTGCTGAACATTTCTCTGTGGAGAGAGGTTATTCTTTGGCCAGGAGACATTTGTAATAGTTCAGTAATCTAAAAAGATTTGCCTTGGACTTGCTAATTTGCTCAATCTCTTAAGTAACAAAAGGGTCTAAACTCTGCCTCTCAATTTAAAGTGAGCCCCATAAAAGCTTCCAGCTTAGCAAGAAATCTAAGATTCCACAATGTGAGCTTTTAACCCCATTTCAATTTGTGCAAGTGTAATATCATTAGGGACTGATTTCTACTACAAGGTAGTTGTGGCTTTTCATGGAATTTAGTTCTTTATCTGAGAGGTGGCATGGTAGTGGAACACACAGAAGAGGACAAAGTACTGCAGAAATAAAGTTTGTTTTTCCTGAAGGATCAGAATCTGGGAACACTGCAAATTCATAAGAAAGCCTCATTCCTATGAAACTTTTGGTTAAATACTGCCAAGTAAGAATTGGCAAAATCTGGATTGGACTTTGATTAGGGGGTGAAAAATTCAACTGTACTCTTCTTCATTTTCATGGTTGAATCTGAAAAGGATACAATTAGGCAGAATTGTGTCACTGTATTCGCAGCTGTGTCCCCAGTAGCTAGAACAGTGCCAGGCACTAGGATACTCAATAAATATTGTCTGAATGAATACACTGCAATAGAACAGAGTCATCCTCATTGTTTAGTCATGGGAAGAAACAGTTGCTTTGCCTCGGGTTGTATCAATAGCCAGCCATTCTTTGACTGGCTTTTTGGGGCTGGTTGCTGCAGCTCCTTCTGCATCCAGACACCTTTTTCTGGAATCAGCTAATCCAACTGTGCAACTTCATGGGAAAATGTGTAATGAGTAATGGGGCCTCTTAACCGGGAAAACAAATAGAAGAAAAATAACCTGTGAATTTATCATCTTGCCCCAAACCTTGGTACGTTAAAAGAAATCTACACAATTGAGAGCCATATTTGCTGGAATTCCTGAAACAGTTTTGATTTTAAGTGTCTTGTCTCCCTGTCCCTTAAGTCATTGGCTGACCATGTGCTCATCACAGTTAGACTGGAAGGTAGGGAGAGGGAAAACTAAGATAGCAGGAAAGAGGTAAGAGGCTCTACCCAAGCTTAATTTGAACTAAATTATCTCCTCTAGATATGTCATTCTGTTAATTATTAAAAACTCCATCAAGTATGGAAAGCCTCCTACAGGTATGGTAAAAAGGTAATACCAGGAGCGGCAGGACTAATTACAGTTGCCTCATAAAGTACGTATGAAGAATCGGTAGCTAAGAAAATACAACACATTTTGGAAACTTGGAATAGTTCAGTTTGACAGAAATATAAGCAAGAATGTTTCCTTTTCAATATTATCTTTATCTCTGGTAATATTCTTCCTAAACACCTGGCCACTTCTAGTACAGTTTTTCCTGATCATTTTGTACAGGCACTGTCCGAGGACCTTACCTGGCCTGTCTCATTGCAGCTAGTCGTGTTTATTAATTGGCTAAGTCATACTGAAGTCTTTCAACTTCTGGAACCAAAGAACAACAACAATAAAATCACTTTGGGTTAGAATAAAAGTTTCTGGAAACTACTACTTGCCAGAAGCAGAAAAAAGAAAGAAAGAAAAGAAACAACACTTGCAGGGATTTTGCCTTTGTAAATAATCCCTGCTTTTTTATTTTCAAAATAAATACGGGTAAATTTTTGTCTTAATTGTAATTTTTGCCAAAATAACACACATATATCATTTACACAGTCAAATAGCAATAGAAAGGTCCTGTCCTGAACCTCCCCACTAATAATATCTGTACTTTTAGCTGTTTCTTCTAGTATTTTGATTTTTTTTTCTGACTTCCTACTATGGTAGATGAGAATTTGATTCTTACCCAGATACAGCCCCCACATCCCTCACCCCCTGGTACATCTTCTTTCTCTTTTCATCCTCTTATGTAGTTTTGGCATAATTTTCATTCAACCAATATTCAATGTTTACATTATTATCATTTTGTTAATATTATTCAGAGCTAAGCTACATAGTATACTATAAATACATTTTCTTTATGGTATAATAATTTCCTCATATTTTTATTTGATTAATTTGCTATGAGTCATCATTAAACTCTCTGAAAGACATATAAATATCCCTCCAGTACATTTGAACATACCAAGTAGTCTAGCAGTTTCATTATAATCATTTTAGCCATGTCTCCACTGCATTCTCAGGCTCATATCTGGCTTGTGTCCAGACCTGCTGTATGCTAAGAACTCCCTTCTGCCCTGGCCTAGACAATTCTTTCCAGGTCCCATGTCTTCTTCCTTGGAGTACTCCCTTATTTTGTTGAGCAATGTCATTAAAATTTCCTTTTTTTACATATTACAAATTTGTAATAATATTAAAAAATGTTCTTTTGGGTTTTTTAAGCTACATATTTTTCTGTTTGGAATTTTAATGCAACTTGCATACTACCTGAAAGTCAAAGATCACCAGAGCTTTTCAGACTGCCCTTTAAGAACTCTTATTCCATTAGCTTAAGAAACAACCAAAAACACATAGTTAGAACTGTTCTTGTTGCTATGAGAAATACAGAGAAAAATATGAGACATATATGAAGCTTACAGCATGTAAGATGCTGCTGCTGCTGCTGATGATGATGACTAGTGCAGTCAATGAAATCACAAGGGTCCCTAAATATGGGAGTGGGAGGCGGAAGTCAGAGCGTCAGAGCGATGCAATGTGAAAAAGACGCTGGCCATTGCTGACTTTGAAGATAGAAGGAACACGGACAGTCTGTAAAATCTGGGAAAGGTAAGAAAACAGACTTTCTCTGGCAGCCTCAGGAAGAAACACAGCCCTGTCAACACCTTGGTTTTGGCCTACTGAGACTCATTTTAGACATCTGAACTACAAAATTGTAAGATAATGTTTGTATTGTTTAAAGCAACCACGTGTGTGGCAATGTGTTACAGCAACAATAAGAAACGAATACAAGGAGATAAGATTAATACATATACAATATTAGCAGTTTCATCGAATCAGATTATGTAATTATTATATGCTTAAACTGTGTTGTTTGGATCAAAAATTGAAAAGGCAATAGGAAGAAATCCAGAGAAAGGAAAAGGTAGTAGCTAACATTCATTGAACATGTACAACATACCAGGCACTACAAGATGCCTTAGATTTGACATTTCATTGGGTCAATTTCAGTGCTCCAGTAATTGAATAGGAAAAATGGAAAATAGAGAAAGATATTTGCCTTTGTATAAGAGGCTTACGTACTCATCAGGTATGATTTTAAATGGAATTTGGGTTGTGATGCTCTATGTTTCTATTGGTTTGTCAAATATTCCATTTAAAATCTCAATCATTTTAAAGAGTACAACTGAAGTATTTCCTTCCTTCCTTCCTTCCTTCCTTCCTTCCTTCCTTCCTTCCTTTCTTAGACAGACTGCAGCCTTAATCTCCCAGGCTGATCCTCCCACCTCGACCTCCAGAGTGGCTGGGACTACATGCGTGCGCCTCCTTACCCAGCTAATTTTTGTATTTTTTTGTAGAGCCGTGTTGCCCAGGCTGATCTTGAACTTCTGGGCGGAAGCAATCCGCCTGCCTCAGCCTCCCAAAGTGCTGGGAGTGAGCCACCATGCCCGACCAGCCTATGTATTTTTTCTTAAGCAATGGACTTCCAAATTTTGAGTTGAACACAAATGATTTAACTCTACCCATTTCTATTAACCATCAAACACACAGAGATGCATAGACACACACACCTGCACTGAATTAGCCAACCTACTGAAGCGCTAGGGAGAAGTTTATGTTTTGAGAGAATCTGGCACAAGCCATATTAACCTGGTTGAGTTTTAAGTGTGTGAAAAAATATATGTTCAAATCTCTTGATACTGGCTTGTGCTTTGA
The DNA here is from genome assembly GCF_000001405.40 of Homo sapiens. Classification (NCBI taxonomy): domain Eukaryota; kingdom Metazoa; phylum Chordata; class Mammalia; order Primates; family Hominidae; genus Homo; species Homo sapiens. The sequence continues at coordinate 102,726 of NW_025791761.1, forward strand.
AGCCACTGATACATGCTACCTAAAACCTATAGTTAAACAAGAACAGAATAATTGTTCAAGCATCCTAAATTAACCTGTTTGTTGAGTTAACAAACAGTTTTATTTCCTATCATCAACTGGAGTTTGGTCTTGGAAATCTGGAAGTCAGTGATCTATTTGGGCACAAAAGCTACAACAAAAGAGCAGGATTTTTCTTTGATTCCTCCCGACTTGACAAAATGAATCCTTCCTACGAGAAACAGATGCTTTCAAAGTCAACTTGGTTAAATCCTCCTAAAACAATAAACCTCAGGGCCAATACAAAAAGAACACCAATGCTCACCTGCATATCCTTTTCACATGCAACAAATATATCTTGCTATATGTGTGCTTTTCTTGGCAATAAGTGTTTCCATTTGTCTGGCCTGCAGTCTTTGCAAGTTTTTTCTCTGAGAATCTGAACTGTTATTTTTAGTGATTTAGAATTCCAAGGCAAACATGCCAAGAATTGATGACAAGGGCCCGATTATTTATTTTTCAGTGGTTAATTATTTGTCACATTTGTGTTTAGAAACAACAAAAGTTTCTTCCCTTCCCTCTGTGGGAAGTTGTAATAATGTTTTCACCTGAGGCTCCAATCGCCAAGGCTATGTGGGTATTCTCAGTGCTGGGAATGACACTAGTGTTGAGAATATTTATTTATTTATTTACTTGTTTATTTATTTTTGAGACAGCGTCTCTGTCATCCAGGATGGAGTGCAGTGGCATGATCACAGCTCATGGTAACCTCAACTTCCTGGGCTCAAGCCATCCTCCACCTCAGCCTCCTGAGTAGGTGGGACTGCAGGCATGCACCACCATGCCCAGATAATTTTTTAATATATTTTGGTAGAGATGGAATTTCACCATCCCAGGCTGGTCTGGAACTCCTGAGCTCAAGCAATCCACCCACCTCTGCCTCCCAAAGTGCTAGGATCATAAGTATGAGCCACTGTGCCCAGCCTGAGAATATGGGAATTTTTAAAGAGAAGGCTATATGTTTTTTAAAATGTCATTAAACAACAACCTTATGTAATCAAGCTTTTCTTTGACTGGTCCCTCAATGGTTATAAGTTCCTGTGGTTTGTAGAAAGTAACTAGAGATAAAAAGATAGATGAATCTTCTGTCCAATCTGCCTTGTCTCATTTGCGATTTGAAGTGAAACATCATGCATTTATAATGCAAAACTTTTATTCTTTACCTATCCCCAGATGTGAAAAAAGAAACTGCACCAAAATCTTAGGAAACAGAAGAAAGAAATTAAAAGATGGAGATCAGGAAATGTATGTTAAAGGATCAGGGCAAGGAGGAAAGAAAAGGGTTCTGAAAGACCTCTATTCATTCCATTAGATAAGTTGCTTAAACAAGTCAGGAAGCAAGGGGCTTGAGAGACTCTAAGATTTTTGTCTTATAATGTTTTAAAATTTTTAAGTTAACAGCTGAGTTACATATTTGATCAGTTAATGACAATCATATACAGCGTATATGATTTCAAGTTCTTAAAATGGAAAAGAGGGAATATTGCATAAGGGAATGTTTTGGTTAAGATAATCAGGACTTGAGCAATATCCTCCTGCATTCTCAAGATAATAAAATCTGCCTTCTGGTTTTAGACCCAATGTTTTGTTTATATCCTAGATCATATCTCCAGAGATGTTTGAAGAAAATAAATTGTTGATTTTTAAAAATCACTACACTTTCTGAAGTGAGCTGAGTGAATGGCAATAACTTTTTTTTTTTTGAGACAGGGTCTCACTATATTGCCCAGGCTGGAATGCAGTGATGTGATCCCAGCTCACCACAACCTCTTCCTCCTGGGTTCAAGAGATTCTCCTGCCTCAGCCTCTTGAGTAGCTGGGACTACAGGTGCCCACCACCACGCCCAGGTAATTTTTGTATTTTTAGTAGAGACGGGTTTCACCATGTTGGCCAGGCTGGTCTCGAACTCCTGAACTCTGGTGATCTGCCTGCCTCGGCCTCCCAAAGCACTGGGATTACAGGCTTGAGCCACCACACACAGCGAATAATGCCTTAAAATAGTTTTTAAGAAAAAGAAAATTTTCCTGACCAAATTCTGAACTGAGAAAGCAGTGTAATCTACATTATTTTAAATTAGCACTTCACAATGAGGTAAGCACAAAAAGCAAGGATTTTATTTTGTTTTCCTAAATCCAGCAGATTTTATTCTGTTCAATGAAATACTACAAAAGACACAAAGGAACTAACATTTACAGAGAGCCTTTTGTGTGATTTAGAGTGCCTCCTATGTTGTGGGCATTGTGTGGTGATTTGCAGTAAAAATAACCTTCGATATATTCCTGACAAGTAGATACTAGTATGCTTATTTTTCAGATAAGAAAACTGAAGTTAGAGAGGTGAAACAATTTGTCTGCGATCATATAACGTGTAATTGAAAGGACCAAAAAAATTTTTAATTCCAGATGTATTTTTGCCAAAGCATGTAATCATTCCACCTCCCCACCCTGTTCTCAGAGAGTTAACTGTCTAGTAAGGGATATGACAAATTCTCAAAAACATATAACAAAAGCTGAATGTTATAAATGTCTTTAGGGATACATAAACAGTATCTTGGTCTTCAAAGGAGAGAGATCTCATTGGGTTGGAAATGGAAAGCCCAAGGCTTAGCCTTCTGTGTGGGACATGGTTTGGAATTTCTTGGCACAGCAGAGTGGATACCACCACACCAGAATGGCCCTGGAGTCCTGCTGACCAATGGAGACCCATCTGATCAGGACACATGAGACAGTTGAGTCTGGCTGAGAAAAGAATAGGCCCAGCACATTTCCTACTTCTATTATGGGTACCTGCTAGCTTGGACTCTTGCCTAGCTCGTCCACTTGCACCCATCTTATCCACTTGCCACCTTTTCACTAACCCCAACCACTTTGATTTCTTTCTCAGTTCCTGAAATAATCCAAGCTCTCTCTCCACCTCCACTCCCACTTCAGGGCTTCTGCACGTTCCTGTAATCCCAATGTCCTCCAATACTGCAATGTACTCCAATTCCTCTCCCAGCCCCCATATTCATCAGGATTCTTAGATGGAATCACCAGAAACTGACTCGGGCTGATTTAAGCCTGAAAGAAATGTATTGGAGTGCATTGAGTGGCTCACAGAATTTCCAGGAGGGCCAGAATACCAGGTTTGGAGAACAGGAAGAAACAAAGCAAGCCTGGACAAACAGAGCTTCGGGCAAGATCACACCTGGACCCAGTCTAAGAGGGCCCCGTTGCCTTTGCCTCTGTAGGTAAAGCTGTCATACACAAAGGAAGCTGGAGTCGCTGCTCCAAAAACTGGATGTTGCTACCACAGTCACTACCACTAAAACAATTTCTCTGCTCTGCTTCTGAGTAGCACTAGTTCTTGATTCACTGACTTGGGCAGGTGACTCTGATCCAAGCCTGGCTCACGTGCTCATACCCTAACTGCTAGGAAGGCTAGGAAAGTCAGTAAATGGGCTTTGGAGAAGCCCGCCTCCTACCAAGACTCACATAGTGGAAAGTCCTCACACACAAGAAAAGAATTCAGATGCTAGGCAGCCAAAAAATTCCACTCCTCTATTCTTTCCTTGCTTGCCTTTTCAAGACTGACCTCTTTACAATCCGGGTCTTTGTTGAACTAACACCTCAAAGAGGCCTTCCCTTGACCACCTTATCTTAAAAGATCTTCAGTCTGTTATTATCTGCACCTGGTTTGTTCCTTCACAGCACGTATCATAGTCGATAATTATAGTCCCCAGGGCAAATTAACCCTCCTTGGATTATCCTAATTTGCGTGTATTATCTATTTCAGCCTACTGGCTCTGCTTTAGTCAGCGAAAGTAAACTAGTATATGAATTTCTATGTTCAATTGTTTCTATCTTCAAATTGTATTCATAGAAAATTTCTTTGTTTCTAAATCCATTTAATAAATGGTGAACCGAGGCGGGTGGATCACGAGGTCAGGAGATCGAGACCATCCTGGCTAACATGGTGAAACCCCGTCTCTACTAAAAATACAAAAAAATTAGCCGGGCATGGTAGCGGGCGCCTGTAGTCCCAGCTACTCGGGAGGCTGAGGCAGGAGAATGGCGTGAACCTGGGAGGCGGAGCTTGCAGTGAGCCAAGATCGCGTCACTGCACTCCAGCCTGGGCAAGAGCGAGACTCTGTCTCAAAATAAATAAATAAATAAATAAATAAATAAATAAATAAATAAATAAATGGTGAAACAAATTCTTATGCTGCTCAGAACTCTTATGTGTCCCATACCCTAAATTAGGCATGGAATCCTACTGCTTCTCCTTGTAAATATTCCTCAAATCTATTCCCAATTCTCTCATTGTCTTCTTTTATCTCATTGTTTCTCACTTAAATTATTAATTGGTCTCCCTACCTCTGGTCTAGATTCCCCACTCATCCATCTTCTATACAACTACCAAAAATATATTTTTTCAATTTTTTACTTTTACTTTTTAATTTTGTAGGTACATAGTAGGTATATTTATTTATGGGGTACACAAGATATTTTGATACAGTCACGCAATGTATAATTATTACATCAGGGTAAATGGTAACCTCAACCATTTATCCTTTGTGTTATAAAACAATCCAATTTATACTCTTTTAGTCATTTTTAAATGTACAATTAAATTATTTTTTACTACAGTCACCCCGTTGTGCTATCAAATGCTAGTTCTTTTCATTCTTTTTAACCATTTTTTTAATACCCATTAACCATTCCCACCTCTCCCCTACCCTCCCACAACCCTTCCTAGCCTCCGGTAATAATTCTATTCTCTATCTCCATGAGTTCAATTGTTTTGATTTTTAGATCCCACAAATAAGCGAGAACATGCGATGTTTGTCTTTCTATGCCTGGGTTATTTCACTTAACATAATGACCTCCAGTTCCATCCATGTTGTTGCAAATGACAGGATCTCATTCTTTTTTATGGCTGAATTGTATTTCATTGAGTATAAGTACCACATTTTTATCCATTCATCTGTTGGTTGATTCCAAATCTTAGCTTTTGTGAATAGCGCTACAGTAAACGTGAGAGAACAGATATCACAAACATTCCTATACACGAACAACAGACAAGCAGAGAGCCAAATCATGAATGAAATCCCATTCACAATTGCCACAAAGAGAATAAAATACCTAGGAATACAGCTAACAAGGGAAATGAAGGACCTCTTCAAGGAGAACTACAAACCACTGCTCAAGGAAATCAGAGAGAACACAAACAGATGGAAAAACAATCCATGTAGATTCTAATATCCAGAATCTACAAGAAACAAACCTGCACATCCTGCACATATACACTAGAAATTTAAAATAAAATAATTAAATTTTGATCTTTATGCCCAAATTGTGTCATTGATCATTAGTGCTCAACACTATAGTTGAATACAATAGTTCGACTGTTAATATTTGTTGTTATAGTATCATAAGTATTATACTTGGGATGCCCTATAACCTGTCAACAGGACAAAGAAATAAATCCAAAGGAATCAAATTTTTTAAAATACCACTTTCTCTTGGCTTTTTTGTTTTGTTTTGTTTGGGAGACAGGGTTTCGCTCTGTGGCCCAGGCTAGAGTGCAGTGGTACAATCTCGGCCCACTGCAACCTCCACCTCCCGGGTTCAAATGATTCTCCTGCCTCAGTCTCCCGAGTAGCTGGGACTACAGGCACACGCCACCACATCCAGCTAATTTATTGTACTTTTTAGTAGAGACAGGGTTTTGCCATGTTGGCCAGGTTGGCCTCAAACTCCTGACCTCAAGTGATCCGCCCAATTCAGCCTCCCAAAGTGCTGGGATTACAGGCATGAACCACTGCACCCAGCCACTCTTGGCTTTTCTTCTACCTACTTTTCTCCATTACTTTTTTAATATTCACTTCTTCTCACCTATTCCTTGAATGCTGGTGTTCTCCAGGATTCCAAAGAGTTATCTTCTCCTCTTTTTATGTACATAATCCCAAATCATTGTTATTCATATCCATCTCCAACTATTATTTATCCATATGTATATGACTCTCAAATCTACATTTCCAGCCCAGCATCTCTCTTGAACTCCAGATCCATATATGCACCTTCCTACTGTATATCCGCAACTTAATGTCCACTAGCAACTAAAGTCAAACATTTCTCAAACCAAGTCACTATTTTTCCTTTCCTTGTATATTCTCTAATGGCATCCAGTAAGCCAAGATATTGTCTTCTATTGGAGAAGCACTTCCTCTTTCCTTATCTTAGGTTTTTTTGTAGTGGGATCTTTCCAGAGTACCACCCTTGGCCTCTCTCCATCCCCTCCCTTACTCCTCCCTGCAGGAGGAGGAGAGAATTATCTCATTAGTGAATTTGGGAGAAAAAACCTTAGTACATGCAGCTTCCTACTTTCTCTCTACTTTATTATTTCCTTTGGCATCTGTGCACCTAAAGAAAGTGCCCATGCATTGCTGTCTGTTCTCTGCTATGGGTTTCATACAAGCAGGCCCTCCAAGGAGAACTGCCTGAGTTACTTGTCCCTGCCTCTGTCTCTCTGTCTCTGTCTCTTTCTCTCTCTCAAATAGTTCTAAATTTGGCTAGAGAAAATGCAGTGTTACATATGTACCCCATCAAATACAATGCCTTTAAAGAATTCTAAAGTCCTTCATCTCCCTCTACTTCCTTATGTCTAATCAGTTCACAATAAAGGGCAGTGCTGGATCATTGCTCAGGGGGCCCAATTAAAGGATTCTAACTATTATTAGAATTAATTAGAAACATGGTGCCAATTAACTCAGGGTTTCCCATGCAACTTCTTATGAGTGGCAAAATGTACATTGGTCTCATTCCTGGAAAATATTGTCCTTGAATAGTAACAAACAAAACACACACACACACACACACACACACACACACACACACACACACACTCCTTACAGGCATTGTTCCAATCCCCATTGAGTGTTTTGTGACATGTAGCTACCTTGAGATGAGCTATTATTTACCTGAAGCCAGTAGCTCCAGTCAGCTGAAACTGAAAACTTAACAATGTATGGTTGCCTACCGGGAACAAAGTGCTTACTTCTCAGAATTAAACCACCTGTAACATGTCATCTGATACCTTCCCTTTGCCCCTCCAGATGCACTTTCACCCTTCTCCACCCTGATTTCGGCCTCAGGAGGCTGACCTGGGTGAATGGTCTCCTGTGCCTACTGGCTTCCAGTAGGGTTTGGCCAACGGGAAGCCCCAGGAGGAGATCAGAGTGACATCAGGGTCACTTATTTCCTTGGTTTCCTCCCTATGAGGTCACCTTGAGCTGCCTGGGCTCAAGATACCTCACCCTGTAAAATGTTCTTGAGTCAGGTTTCTGTTACTCTCTCTCCCTTTCTTCAGGCCTTGTGGGTGTTGACGCCCCTGCAGCTATGGGCTCTGAGCTCGTTCCCGCAGTATCACTTGTGGTTCTCTCACACCCTCTCATACCTGAGAGTACTAGTATTTTTCTATGATTTCAATGAGTTTTGGGAATGTCAACATTTATTTATTTATTTATTTATTTATTTGAGATGAGATCTCACTATGTTGCCCAGGCTGGTATTGAACTCGTGAGCTCAAGTGATCCTCTCGCCTCGGCCTCCCAAAGTGCTAGGATTACAGGCATGAGCCACCACACTCGGCCCCTCAAAAATAATTTATAAGTAGCATCTTTATTAATTCAAATGTTTTGCTACAGAGCTGCTTGAAAACAATATATTGAACATCACTCCTAGTTTTCCTTGTTTACTTTGTTACAATGAGAAAAGCAAGATTACAGTTTGTGATGTCTTAACTGTTAGAATCTAAATCTGTAAGGTCCAAAGTAACAAATACGATTATAATTACTTAGTTATTCAACCAAAATTAATGACTGTTTCTCGTATACCCCACATGGGCTAGATACTATTCTCAAGGCTGAGGAAACAGTGTAGGCCAAGCAAGATGACGCATTTGCCCTCTTGCAATTTACTGTCCTAATCCAGGTACCTTGGTAATCTAGTATATACCCGAGAATAGCCAAATATTAATACATGGCACAAACATTGTTCTTTTGAAACTGTGAAATTATTCAGAGAAAAACATCTTAAGCAATAAATTAAAATGATAAGGGAGCTGTTAATGACACACTTACAGATAGCATCCAGAGATAGCTATGTGACGACCTCTCTGGCTGCAAAGTCCCAGAAGCTGGAAGCTGGGACCACCCAACTCCCATCTGCTCCTGCATTCCTACTCCAGACTCTGGGCTTAATTTGGCTCCCAGGCCAGGGAAATGTAAGGACTATGGGATCCAGAGCTTTGTGGCTCTGCGTTAATAAAAGTGTTTACTGTTGGCCCAGTTGTGACCTTTTATCTTGTAGCAAGTGACCATTTAGGCCATATGTCACCAAGTCCTGCTTGCCATCCCAGTTCCAGGAATATATCCCCCATCTTACGTCTCCACCCCTGGCATTCGCTCGTTACTGCTTCGTTTTCCCACTAATCTGTTAGTTATCTGAGCTTGGGACTATCTTGCCTGAATTTCCGCACTGCCAGTCCTGTGGCTGGATTCTCCCTTCCTGCGCTCACACTTCTCTCAGGAAGACCATCTGCCTAGATCTGATGCTAGATTCATGCTTGCTACAGCCTGCCCACTCACACCACAAATGTCTTCCTGTTGCCTCCAGAAAATATGTAGGAGATGGAATCAACAAATGTGGGGGATATGAAATCTGAAATAGGATGATTTTGAAGATTGTGGCTTGGTTGAGTGAAGGAATGATGGTTTCATCAGTGAGGTTGGAAACAGGGGAGGAGGAGCAGGCTTGCTAGGAAAGGTGACAGTTCAGTTTTAGACATGTAGAATGTGAGGTGCCTGCAGGATCTCCAGGAGATATCCAGTGGAGAGTTGGATGCACGGCTTGGGAACTCAGGAAATGGTGTTACATTTGCACAAATATTTCTGTGCGCACACACACACACATATTCAGGCATATCCACAAACAACATTTTAAAAACTAAAATTCTGGCCAGGTGCGGTGGCTCACGCCTGTAATCCCAGCGCTTTGGGAGTCCGAGGTGGGCGGATCATGAGGTCAGGAGATCGAGACCATCCTGGCTAACATGGTGAAACCCCATCTCTACTAAAAATACAAAAAAAAATTAGCCAGGCGTGATGGCAGGTGCCTGTAGTCCCAGCTACTCGGGAGGCTGAGGCAGGAGAATGGCGTAAACCCGGGAGGCGGAGCTTGCATTGAGCTGAGATGGCGCCACTGCACTCCAGCCTGGGTGACAGAGCGAGACTCCATCTCAAAAACAAAACAAAACAAAATGAAAACCTAAAATTCTGCCAGTGATCAAGATTTCTATATTTCTATACTTACATACAGCTGGAAAGACCACTGAGCAAACCACAGTTCTTTTCTCATTACGTAAATCTGTGCATGTTGTTAATCAACAGTTCTTCAGAATTAGAAGCTCATTTCAACATTAATGTGGAAAGTCTTAACCACCCTTAAATTTGTCTAAAGTCAGTAAGGTCAAATGTTGAATAAATATTCAATGAGGAGTATTACAGGTCAATGCTTCTAGCCTGAAAATTAATCAATCTGGGTCTGGTTTGGGCTTTACATAGGGTTTGTGGTTGTTTAAATATATTCTACCTGCCAATTAGCAATTTTTATTTTACACTCCCACATTCAAAAGATGATATATTGAATAGTCAAGAGGAATTAAAAATATAATACAATATTTTATTCTACCATAAGAAACTAAATCAATACAAGAAACTCTGGTGAAGAAAGTGTATGCCCCTACCACATTTTGGGGGTATACGCTCCTTTAACGGGGCACTCATAATTCCTGTTATAGTTAATGGGAGCTGCGTGTGTGTTATCAAGGGCACAGGCTCACTGTCTCTAACAGAAAATGATTCCTTTTGTGTTGATCTCCTAGCTGTGTTTTCATTCTACCTTTTAAAACCATTACACCTAACAGAGTTTTTTTGAGTGCATTATCAGTAACTTTAAGAAGCCATCATTATCTCCTCTCTCTTAACCACATAATAGGGGGTAGGAAAGTGAGAGTGCAGTATATACACCATGCTGAGTAGAAGGAACTTGCCTTGAATTTTTGAGCCCCTCAGCCTATTTTCTGTAATGCTCAGTGGCGAATCACTCTTAAGTGCTCCATCATTCACTAGGATATGTGCTTCATGCCAAAGGTTACCAGATTACAAAAGTATTCTAGGCTCAGAAGGGACTCATAATTCACCATCACCTTATTTTGACACTAACAGAGAAAATATGTGCATCAAGACAAGTAGAGGAAATAATGAAAAAAAAAACCTATATTAAGTTAACAATGCAGCAAACACTCCAAAGGGAAAAATACAGACTAGAACAATAATAAGGATAATAGAAAAGTAATGCTGTTAAATTATCAGAGACCTGCTGGTCAGCTCATGAACACTCCCCTGAGTGAAGATAGTTTCCTAAAGAGCTTCTCTTAGACATGAGAGCAAATGGGAAAGTTAAGAGAGTTTCCAAAGTTGGAAGAAAATATTTTCTCATGCCAATGTTTCTAAGAGTCAAATACATTTACTGAAGGTGAAGTGGAAATATTTAGAAAAAAATTAAAAACACAAGTGACTCAGGAAGAGCTGTTAACATGTGAAGAATGAACAATCTCAAGATTCCACAGGCAATCTGGTAGAAACCTCATGAACTTAACCAAAGTGAAATCTTAGAGGACCTCTGATTAAAATGTGGAAAAAATAATAACAATCCAATATTTATGAAAAGGTCCTGGAAAATGTTCTTTGCATGGTAAGAAGGTCACACAAATGTATGTATTAGATTTTATACATGTCATTTTAGCAAAGTTATAAACCAATCAAGTGACATTTACGCAAGAGCATTAAAAATATAATTACTAGAAAGCTTCATGCATTGCTATGGGGCCACAGCTTTCTTTTCACAACATAATTTCATTAAAAACTTGTATGATGAGGATGTATATAACAAGGTTGTCAACAAATGGCTATAAATGTTCTAGCTGATTACTTGGGACTTACTAGAGTTCCTGGAATATTTTGAGATGCCTGAACTGCTGGGTAGCAGAATACATTTTTAACCCCTTCAAATTCCTTCCTCTTCCAATTTGGTGTCTGCTACATCTTTTTGATGTTTTATACATTTGTTTAAGTCCCATGGTTTAATAGCTACTTTTTTCTTAACTATTTTTTGAATATAACATACATACAATAAAAAGGACCCATGTTAAGAGTAGAGGTCAATGAATGTTTTACAGATATGTAAATGTGTGTAACCCCCACCAGATGAAGAAATGAAACATTCCCAGCACCGCAGAAACCTCCCCATATCCCTTGCCATCAATATCCCTATACCTCAATAGCCACTATTCTGACATTTCATTAGATTAGTTTTACCTTCTTTTGCATTCTATATAAATGAAATCCTGCATTATGTCAATATATTAATTGTATTAAAATTTTGCAAACATTGGCATATTGAATTCAAGTGTAAATCCAGATATGAGTTTGTTCAACAAATTCATCTGTATATATTATATTTCTACCCTCTCCTACAAACCATTATAAGAAGTTTTAAAATGCAAATTCTCCCCTTCGAAAACACCCTGCAGCACTAATGCTTATTAGGACTCCTCCCCAGCCCTTCCAACTTAAAAAGTAGGAAGACATAGTGGTTTGAACTATGTAATGTCCAGGGTACAGTCTTTCTAATCAGTGCTGCTAATGCATTTCTTCAAAAAAGTGTTAAAAATAAAACAACAAAAAAGTGGGGGGTTTTTTAGTTACGTATTTCATATCTTAAAACATTTTTTTAAATTTTATTTATTTATTTAAGCAATAGGATGTCACTCTGTCACCCAGGCTGGAGTGCAATGGTGTGATTATAGTTCACTGCAGCCTCAAATTCCTGGATTCAAGCAAACCTCCCGCCCTTAGCCTCCCAAGTCGCTGGGCCTACAGGTGAGTACCATCATATTTAGCTAATTTTAAAATTTTTTACAGAAATGGGGTTTTGCCATCTTGCCCAGGCTGGTCTCGAACTCCTGGGCTCAAGTGATCCTCCCACCTTGGCCTCCCAAAGTGCTGGGATTATAGGCATGAGCCACTGTACCCACTCAAAAGCTACATTATCCAGCCAGTATATTGAGTGGTTTTCAGTGGGAAGAGGTATCTAGTCTGCTTTATTGCTGTAGAAGTCTCACATAATGTTAACATTTCTCCAATCCATCTACTTTTCTTAATTCTCACTGATGATGCATCAGTTCATGCATTTATAATTGCTGGCTCTACCCAAATTCTTCCAGTTGCATTCCCTGCTTCCAGTCTCTACCTTACCTCTTTCTCCACCTCTCATCCCTCTAGGCAAGCTGTATCAACAAGGGTCTCAACAAGAAACAGAATTCACAAGATAGTTCACATGAAAATACTTTAATGAAAGGACAAGTTACAGAGGGGTGAGCGGGTATTAAGGGAACAAACGAGATGATGAGGCACTCAGAGACTAGCTACAGAGGAGGTGTTCAAGAGATAAAAGGAGAACATAAAATCACCAGACAGCCCGGGGAAAACTAGAGCCATGGTGAAAGAGCCATCTGGCAGGTACTGTAGTCATGAAGGAATGAAGCTATTGCTGGACATCTGACACTCAAAGAAGGAAGGAGCAAGGAAGAGATGCCCCAATTTCCCTTTCTACCCACCTTCTGATATCCTTGCCTTGGCCTTCTTTATGTCCAACCACAAAGCAGTCCTTAAAGAAACTGAGGTCAACCCTCAGAGGCATAGAGCTTAGCAAAGAAGGGCAGGAAATGAATCTGGGGGGCAAAGAAAATAACCAGCACATTAGTCTTTCTCCGGACTACTTTGAAAGGCCAGTCATCTAAAATGCAAACCTTCTCATACCTTGCACCCTCTTAAAATCTACCAGTGGATTCACATCATCTGTAGGACTAAATCTAAACTGGGATGTGCGACTTTGCCCCTGCTTATGGCTTCATTCCCCAGTTCCTGTCTTAGCCTACGGCCATTGTGAATTATTTCCAAATTCACCAGCATTCTATGCTCTCACACCTCTGTCCTTTGTCCATATTCTTTTCTCTTCCCAAGGCACCTTTCTGCATCTTCTCTGCTTGGCTAACTTCTTCTACTCAACCTTTGAGAATCAAAGACTTAGCTCTAGAATCACCTCCTTCCAAAAGTTTCCTGAAAAGTTTTTCCAGGTGTTTCTATGACTTCCTTATATAATTCCATCATTATACAGATGCTCCTTGAGTTATGTCCTGATAAACCCATTTTAAGTCAAAAATATATGTTGAAAATGCATTTTACTCTAATAAGCCCATTGTAATGAGAAAAAAATCATAAGTTAAACCATCAGTCAGGAACCATCCATTCTTAGTTGAGCGAGTGTCCTTTCTCCCTTGAGAAGAAGGATGTGCATTTTTGTGCATTTTTATGTTTTTTGTTTTTTTTGTTTCTTTTTCTTTTTTTTTTTTTTGAGGCAGGGTCTTGCTCTGTCTCCCAGGCTGGAATGCAATTGTGTAATCTCAGCTCACTATAACCTCCGCCTCCTGGGCGCAAGCCATCCTCCTGCCTCAGCCTCGTGACTAGCTAGGACTACAGGCGCATGCCACACACCCTGCTAATTTTTCTATTTTTTGTAGAGACGGGGTTTCACCATGTTGCCCAGGCTGGTCTCTAAGTCCTGAGCTCAGGTGATCTGCCTGCCTCGGCCTCCCAAAGTGCTGGGATTACAGGTGTGAGCCACTGCGCCTGGTCCATTTTAGCTGTTACCACAACACCCATCACCATTGCTGGCACATGGTAGGCAATCAATAATAATTTTTTTTCAAATTAATACATGAAAACTATTAGGAAAGAAGTAAAAAAATAACATAGCTATAAAGCTCTTTGAATGTTAGGTTATTGGGAAAAGCTGTGGAAAGCCAAGGATTTTCTTTCTCAAATTTATTTTTAGAATATTTTTTTCTACACAAAAGACCACAGATAAGGCAGAGAAAGATAAGAAAAAGACCACAAGCCCAAGGACTTGGAATTTGAATCATAAAGGTTCATTCTAGACTTGGGCAATATCTAGAACTTCTAGAACAATCAGTTTTCTAGAACATAGAAAAGATATTACCTTGGTGTTAGCTTTAACTCCTGCCAAATAATGCTTTAAATTATTTAAACTTTAAAAAGGTGTGTCAATGTATACATTGCAGGTAAATTCATGTTCCAGTAACTTTTGTTTTCTTTGTATGTTAAAAATCTAACTGTGGAAAACATTCTAGCTTGGTTTGAGAGTCCAATAATACAAAATGCTTTATTTCCTAAAATTGTTTGAGAGAAAACCAAAATGCTACCACACTGCAACAAAATACTAAAGAATTATTTGCTATGTCAGTTGACATATTTTTATTTAGATTTTGCCTAAGATGCCACATGAAGCCTATATAAGACATTCTTTCCCTAAAACTTACATATGTATGTACATATATATATATAATGTTTTACATCCTAAACAGTCTACTTCACGTCTTCACCAAATGTGCAGCAGCGTGATTCACAGGTTCACCACTGGAAAATAGACCTTAAAATTCCGCCAATATTGGGTCAAAGATCTTACACTATAACACATACTACACTGTGGGCACGGATCAACAGACGAGAATACTTTATACAGAAGCTTCTCGACGGAAGAAGGCCTTGGAGTGGGAAATCTAAAGGAGGGGACACACTACATGTCCCAGCACACCTTGCGACGCCCAGCGACCACAATTCCCAGAACGCACTGCTCGTCGCACGCAGGTTTTCCTTGTTGCCGGGGTTTGTAGTTCTTCTCGATCGTGTCAGTTTGTAAGGCGAGGGCGGAAGTTGGATTCCTGGCCTGAGAATATTAGGCGTAGTTTTCCAGTTTTTGGCAAAGCGGAAATACTTAAGGCCCCTGGGTTGACTGGGTTCTTTGTTTTATCTACCGGCTTCTGCTTTACGACAGGTAAGTCACGGAGGGGCTACAATTCCTCGCAGCAGGGCCCCACCTTTTATTTCTGGGAGCGACCTCGTTCTGGTGAGGCTATTTGTCCCTAAGCTCTCGCCGTAGCAGCCGCCGCCCATCCCTCTTTGTGTGCTTTGGAAAGCCGCGGAGCTGGTGGTGGCTACAGTTGGTGTTGGGGGCTTAGGCGAGGGACGTTACCGGGAAGTTGCAGGCGGGAGGACTCTTCCCCATCCAGTCACCTGACAGGTGGGTTGACTGTTCTTCCCTCAAGGCCTCCCTGCCTGTGTTCCACGTCGCAACTCGAAGGGCGGCTTGGCAGTTCCTGCTGACATCCCCGCCCGGCCCAGCTTTGGGGAGGAAAGGCGGGGAGACCTGGGTGCGGTGACTCATTGCGGCCCGGCGAGAGGAGTCCACTCCTTTCCCTTCTCGACCCTCCAGAGGCGGCCTGGGGAGCCTTGAGGCTTGTCCGGCGCCCACTGGCTTCTTCCGGACGCCCTGCCGTGGACCGCGCCCTCTTGGCCGTGACCCCAGGGGAGAAAGTGATTCGTTTTCGCCTTGCCCCATTTTACAAATTAAGGCCATCTCTACTTGCCTTGATAGTGTCTCCCCTCACCTTATGTGTGATGGAAAGCCCCCGAACACGGAGGTTCTAGCACAAAACTCTAGAGACTCTCTTCTCTTGAGTTTTAAGAACGTGAACATGTCGGTCATGGAGGAAGGCTCTGGCTTCTGTGAGGATGAGAGGATTGGTCAGCTGTAGTTCAGCTGGTCAAGACTTTGTTGTTGGGCTTTAAAAATGCGCTTATTTTAATATCAATTAGTGTTGGTATATCTGTTTTACAGTTGACGTTGAACAAAATATAATGTGCCTAGCGTAGCATACAGTTACGTATGGAAGTTCTCTTCACCAGCCGTTTGTATGGAGCTGTTTAGAGGTGTAGAAAGAGTGGAATAAGAAACACGGTCTCTTGCTTTTAGTTTGTTCAAACAAATCTTGGAAGATATTGTGTATATATTTCAGGTCTGCTATGTCAACTTTTCATCCTTTTCGTATGCTTGAAAATTATCAATTCGCTTGCCAGTCTTAATGGAGTTTAGTAGCTGAAATTTCCTTTATCCACTTCTTAGTAGGTGAATTTCTCCTCTTGACTGACTTACCTTTGTTCAGATTTAACAATTGTGCTTTTTAAGAGATTTCCCCTAACCTCTGGAAATACAGTTTTCCAGAGGTTATTCTCCTAGTTTTCTTGATCTAAAGCATTTAATACTTCACTTGTACAGAGACATTGAAAGAGATTGATCATTAGGCAATAAGTCAATCATGTGGAGAAGGTAAGGAGTTCCTGGCTCCTGCCTTATGCTCAGCTGCTAGGCTACTTAAAAAAAAAAAATCCTAATTCATTATTTCTTCCTAAAACTCAAGCTGAAGTAGTGTTTATGCAATTGGTTTTTGAAGCTCAGATTGTAATTGTGTCTACCGTATCCATTATTCATTAGCCAGTGTCAATTGTAATGTTAAGGTCATTCTGCTGGATGTTGTGAAGGCAACAAAAATAACTAAAAAACAGTCCCTGATTTCAAGTACATTACAATCTAATAGGGAACATTTCAGGTATGTCCACAAATAATTGTACTAAAAGTGCCATCAGAGGTATACGTAAGGTGTTATTGTGGAGAAATACAGTCATATGATTTGATAGCTAATGATGGTAACTCCTGCGTTTTGCTTTAGTATTACTACAGCACTTTTAGAACTTACAGGAAAGTTCAGTTTGACCTATTGTTTTTTATCAAGTTTCTATGAATGCAATAGAATTGGTAATAGTTTTGATCTGTGTCATATAGCTTAAGAGCTTCTAAATGCCAAACCATGTCCTCTGTTTTAAGAGCCAGTTTTGACCTTTATCTTGGGTACCTAATATATTGTCATCAAAAACTTTGAGACATTGTGTTCAGTTTGTGTATGCGAACATTAAAGTGCTTACTATGGGCTAGCTACTATGCTCAGCTCTAGGTAATATTTATTATATATATTTGTTTATACATTTTTTAAGTCTTAGTAATAATATATATGCTTCCTTTATTTTATCTTTTAAAAGTTTATTTTTTAGAGACGCTCTGTTGCCCAAGCTGGAGTGCAGTGGCATGATCACGGCTCACTGCAGCCTTGACTTCCTGGGCTCCAGCAATCCTTCCAAGTAGTTGGGACTACAGGCACATGCCACCATGCCGCCTAATTTTTTATTTTTCTTGCCTTTTTTTTTTTTTTTTTTTTTTTTGTAGAGATGGGGTCTTGCTTTGTTGCCCAGGCTGGTCTCAAACTCATGGCCTGAAGCAGTTCTCCCACTTTAGCCTCCCAAAGTAAGCTACTGCCCAGCCCCATTATTTTAAAAGTAAGGTTTTTGTGCTTTTTTGAGATAGCATTGAACTATATGGCCTTTCGGGACAGTTCTCTTCTTGGAACACTAGTTTTTTCAACTGTGCTGCTTTTACTAACATAATGATTATATGTTTCTAAGGTCACAAACATGTCAGACAAAAGTGAATTAAAGGCTGAGTTGGAACGTAAGAAGCAGCGACTGGCCCAAATCAGAGAGGAAAAGAAGAGAAAAGAAGAAGAAAGGAAAAAAAAAGAAGTATGTTTGATTTTTTTGCTTAAATAAACAACATAAAGTAATTGGGTTTTATTTCACATATTTATATATTTACATATAGGTTGGTGCAAAAGTAATCGTGGTTAAAAGTAATGGCAAAAATTATGATTGCTTTTGCACAAACCTAATAATTTCAGGATAGTTAAAAATCTAGCAGTTCTGACTGCAGACATAACACTGTAAGTGAATCTTACTTTAAAGAAGCAAGATATGTGAAAATGACAAAACTGATAAAATATGATTTTTAAAAACAATTTCGTATAGATTGATGCATTTCTAAAATTTGATTTATTAAAGTTCAATTTACAATTTAGTCTCCTAGGAATATATTTATTATAAAGTAAGGCGCATCTGTATTTTTTTTTGTTTTGGGTTTTTTTTTTTTTTTTTGAGACTGGGTCTCACTGTGTCACTCGGACTGGAGTGCAGTGGTTTGAGCACAACTCACTGCAGCCTCAACCTCCCCTGACTCAGGTGATCCTTCCACTTCAGCCTCTGGAGTAGCTGGGCCTACAGGCACATGTCACTATGCTAGGCTAATTTTTGTATTTTTTTGTAGAGACGAGGTTTTGCCATGTTACCCAGGCTGGTCTCGAACTCCTGAACTCAAACAGTCCTCCTGCCTAGGCTTCCCGAAGTGTTGGGATTACAGGCACGAGCCACCACACTCAGTCAAGATGTCTATATTATAATAACTCATAAATATGGTGTATATATATCATAACTTAGTTTGGACTTTGAATTTATCTGAATATTTTGCTAGTCTGAATTGCTAATTTGTCAGAATGGATAATATTAATGGCAAATAAAATATATGTAATAGATGATTTAATTGACTAAGGGATTTGTTCTTATCTCTTATGAGTTAGTCATTGAAATATTTTTACTGAGTAGTAGGTTTGATGGTACCATAAAGGTGGACCAGGTACTTCTTTTGATTTTTTGTATCAAAAATATGCATCACATTATATACAGCAAATGTACATTGGCCCTGAGCTGGAGACATTTTACTTGTTCATGCATTGAAATATACTTTTATCCCTATGGAAACTCTTTAGACATATCAGTGTACTTTTACTACAGATATGTTTTAAATACCTAGTGTAAGGTAGTTTTTCTTGTGTGTCTTTAGGACCAAGTTTTTATATGTGGTAGCCTAAATAATGGCCAAGACTGCCAGAAATCTCTTGGGGACTAAGAGAAAAATAAGTAGTAGAAAAGTTGAAGGTACAATTTATGTGCAGCATTACTATGATGCTGTAAAGGCCTGTAATTGAAGAATTTGCTAGTTTATTCTGAACCTTTCTGTGAGACATTATAAGAGGATTGGAGCTTTACATTAGCTATTAGATTAAAAGCTGACTGGTAGAAGCATGATTCAGGTTGGCAGAGCTATTCCAAAATAATATTTATATCCCTAAACATTTCCGTGCTGAGAGCAAATTTCATTTTTGTTTTCTAATGATGGCCATAACTGGCAAAAATGGGTTCTAAGGGATATCTATTGCATGATTTATACCTAATTTAAAGCTTGTAAAACTTATTGAGTCACACAGACCAATGGGAAAAAACAAAGTTTATAAAAATGTTACAAGAGATAATACAATGGTATTAAACTGTGAGTCTATTAATATATTTTTATCAACAGTGAAGCATCAGCTTGATATTACAACCTGTTTTGTTATTTTGATTAATTTTTCTGATGACTTTTAAGTCAAAATGGCATAGAATATTATGGCTAACAAAATTCACTCCAGACAGTGTCTGAGTAATAGTTGTCTAGGTGGCATAGGGATTTGAGATTTACATAAAAAAAACTTTTCCTTGGAAAGCTTACATTTTACTTGAGAAGTCTTGGATGATCTGAGAGTATTGAGGTTTATCTAGTTTAACCAGCAGATTGTGCTAAAACGATAAATAGCCGAGATAAAAGCTGACAAAAATTTTCATAACAAAATGTTTTGTGCTATGCAAAAGTGAGTTTAATTTTACAAAACACAATCCCAAATAAAATGAAGACTTTATACAGAAGTTTGTGATACTCTTTTTCAACAAATCATATTGTCATTCACTTAAAATTTGTTACCTCTTAAATAATTACACTTTAATTTTTTCATTGTATGTGATATTGTATCTAACCTTTTGTGCCACTTGGGGGAAGTTGTCTATTATTCCTGACCATAGACAGCAATTTCATACTGTAGATAATTCGAAGTTGACTGTACTTCTTGAATTTGTCTGTTAGGAAAATTTTTGTGGAAACTCCTTGATTACATATGAAGATAGAGCAGTTTAGTACATATCATTTGAAGGTTATTTACTAGAACTCTATTGAGAATGATTTTCATTTAATGACTATAAAAAGAACTTAACCTGTACTCAAAACTAAGTTCATGCCTTAAAAGTATACAGTGTTAGCATATTATTTAAAACATTTTTGCAAACAAATTTTTCATACTATATGTAAACATAAGTTTTTAACCTAAACATTTTAGACAGACCAGAAGAAGGAAGCTGTTGCTCCTGTGCAAGAAGAATCAGATCTTGAAAAAAAAAGGAGAGAAGCTGAAGCATTGCTTCAAAGCATGGGGCTAACTCCAGAATCCCCCATTGGTAAGGTTAAGAATATATCCATTTATAAGAGATAGGCATAGATTCTGTTCAGCTCAGACATAGCTGAGTGGATTGACTTGATATATTTTACATATTTTCCTTGTGTCTCTAAAATTATTAATCTTTTATTTGGAATTGTCTTTTTTTCAGATATGCTAGTACATGGTTATTTTATTTGTTCAAAAGAGCTGCAAGAGTAATTATTAACATATACTGAACTACCAATTGACTTCTCTTATTAAATCAGTAATTTATTTCAACAAACATTGGTTAAGCAAGTTTTATGTGCCATACTGTGTTAAGCTCAAAGATAACTAGGATTCCTGATCTGAACTCTATATTCCTTTCTGGAGATTAGCGAGAGATACAATCAGACTTATATTGTTAGAATGCAAAATATATTAGTATTCAAAGGTACAGGAGTGGAAGGATAAGCTTATAGCCTTCTGCTGTTAATGCTAATAAGGGAGATAATTTTGTGGCTTATTTTCGAAGTGATTTGACTTAATCTTATTATTTTTCTGGGTTATTCATTTTGATAACTGTACTAGACCAAAAAAGCTGAAATAGTAGAGGTACACAGGACAATCTAGTTACATATCAGGAACAAATGCTTACTTAAAATAGTTCTGTGCTGGGTGCTATTATGTAGTATTTTAGTTTAACATGGCCTTTATCCTTTAGAGACCTAACATTTTAGGGCTAGTTGGTGGGCTAATTTTATCTAGTCCAGGGGACAAATACTGGAGATTGTAAATGCTCTATGCTTGTTGTGAAACTGCAACATAACTGTCCTTAGAGCTGATATTTCTAAAAGGTTTCAAGATGAAAAGGCTGGCTACTCTCATGGTCAGCTTCATTGTTATTTCTTTCAGCTCATTTTCCTTTTCTTGTAGAATTTGAAGACTGAAGTATATTAATTTTATGTATTTATTCAATAAGCTTATGTTGAACATGCAATTTTAAAAGTAAATGAATCAGAACACTTAATTTCTTGTAACTAAACCAAGTTGCTTGTTAGCCTTTGTTTGAGTTACCTTTTTTTTCTGTGCTTTGGCTTTTGTTTTTCTCCTATAGGATTTTTTTTCTTTTATGTTCTTCTTAAGACTTTAGTTTCACTGAACTCACTTGTTCATATTTCTTTCTTCTTTTTTTTTTTTTGAGGCTGAGTCTCACTCACTCTCCCAGGCTGGAGTGCAGTGGCACAATCTCGGCTCACTGCAACCTCCACCTCCTGGGTTCAAGCGATTCTTCTGCCTCAGCTTCCTGAGTAGCTGGGACTACAGGCTTGTGCCACCACGCCAGCTAATTTTTGTACTTTTAGTAGAGACAGGGTTTCACCATATTGGCCAGGCTGGTCTCGAACTCCTGACCTCATGATCCACCCACCCCTAAAGTGTTCATATTTCTTAATTTATGGCTGGGTTAGTTCTTTGTGTTGCTATAAAGAAATACTGAGGCTGGGTAACTTGAAAAGAGGTGGCTGGGTGGGGTGGCTCACGCCTGTAATCCCAGCACTTTGGGAGGCCGAGGTGGGCGGATCACCTGAGGTCGGGAGTTCAAGACTAGCCTGACCAACACGGAGAAACCCCGTCTCTACTAAAAATACAAAATTAGGTGGGCGTGGTGGCGCATGCCTGTAATCCCAGCTACTCAGGAGGCTGAGGCAGGAGAATTGCTTGAACCTGGGAGGCAGAGGTTGTGGTGAGCTGAGATCTGGCTATTGCACTCCAGTGTGGGCAACAGGAGTGAAACTCCGTCTCAAAAAAAAAGAAAAGAGGTTTAATTGGCTCATGGCTCTGCAAGCTTTACAGGAAGTATGTTGCTGGCTTCTTGTGGCAAGGCCTCAGGAAGCTTCTAATCATGGCAGAAGGCAAAGGGGCGTCAGCATGTCTCATGCAGTGAGCAAGAGCAAGAGGTGGGGGGAGGTGCCACACAGTTTTAAACAAAACCGTGAGGGATCCGCCTCCATGACCCAAACATCTCCCACTAGGCCCCACTTCCAACACTGGGGATTACATCTCAACAAGAGATTTGGAGGGGATGTCCAAACTGTATCAATGGCCCATCTCCATCATTAATTCTTGAAAGACCATTCTTTAGGGTTTGTGTATGTGTCCCTCATTTCTCATCTCTAATTCCATTCTCATTCCCACTAATGCATTAAGTGACCACTTTTGCAGTTTTTGTTTGTTTATTTGTTTGGTTTTTGGTTTTTTTTTTGAGACGGAGTCTTGCCCTGTCGCCCAGGCTGTAGTGCAATCACGTGATCTCAGCTCACTGCAACCTCCACCTCCCGAGTTTAAGCGATTCTCCTGCCTCAGCCTCCCAAGTAGCTGGGATTACAGGCACGTGCCACCACACCTGACTAATTTTTTGTATCTTTAGTAGAGACGGGCTTTCACCACGTTGGCCAGGCTGGTCTCGAACTCCTGACCTCATGATCCGCCTTCTTCGGCCTCCCAAAGTGCTTGGATTACAGGTGTTAGCCACCATGCCCGGCCCACTTTTGAATTTTTAACATACATCCTTCAGATTATCCTCTGTTTTTCAAGGTTTCACATATCTCTGTGTATATATACTTTATATATATAAATGGCATAGTGCTGTATGTCTTTTGTTTATTCCATGTTGCTATATACGTATTTAGTCATTTATTTCTAATATATAATATCCTATTATGTACCACATTTTACTTATCCATTCCCCCAGTGCTATGCACTCAGTTTCCTTTTGTCTCTTTGCTTTACTATCATAAGCAACACTGCAAAAAATATGTGTTTTTTCCCTTGAGGACTGTGGAATACTTTCTCTGGGGTGTATCCCCAAGAATTTACTTGCTATGTTATTGTATATAAGACTTAGCTTAATTAGGTTCTGCGTGTCACTCTCCAGAATGGCTACAAAGTTTACCCGCCCGCTACCAGTGCATGAAAAAGTAACTGCTTTACCATATTCACATGATGACTGGATATTATCCAGCTTTCTAATTTTTGCTAACTTGATGAGTATAAAGTGGTACACCAAAATGTTTTAATATACATTTATCTGATTACAGTGAGGTTGACCACCTCTTTATATATCTTTTAACCATTCAAGTTTTCCCTTCTGTGAACTGCATATTCATGTCCTTCTCCCCATTTACTATGATTGAGGTTCTTTATCTTCTGATGTATAGGCATTCTTTGTGTATTTTGTATATTTTAGGGAGGACTTTTGTCTGTTTTAGTCTTTTTAAAAACCCTTCTAATCTGTTAACTGCTTATAATATTCTTCATTGAACAGAATCCTCTATTTTGATATGATCAAATCCTTCATTTTGATATGATCAAATCTAGCAATTACAGGCTAAGTATTCCTAATCCAAAAATTCAGCATTCAAAATGCCCCAAAATCTGAAACACTTTAAGCACCAACATGACACTCAAAAGAAATACTGATTAGAGAATTTCAGATTTCAGATTTTTAAGTTAGGATACTGAACTGCTAGGTATAATGCAAATAGTCAAAAATCCAAAATAATCTGTCACCTTTGGTCCCAAACATTTTGGGTAAGGGATACTCAACCTGTATAACCCTTTTTTGTGTGCTTTTGGTCTTTTTTAAAAAGAAATTGTTTCCTACATTGTGGATGCAAATATATTCTTCTATGTTTTTCCTATTAATTTTATAGTTTTACCCTTCACATGTAGATATTTGGGTTATATTTTTAAAAATAGTATGAGGTAGGGATCCAACCTAATTTTTCTCTATATAGGTAGCTAATTTTCTCAGTGCCATTTGTTAGTCTATCTTTTCCCCCACTGAAGTCCGATGCCAACTTTGTCATACAGTAAATTCCCATATATTTATGGGCATTTCTGGGCTCTCTATTTTCACTATGAATCTATTTGTTTGGTTCTACACAACCCAGTTTTAATTACTGCACCTTTGTATTATATTCTAATTTCTGATACAGAAAATCACCCCCTTTGTTCCTTTTACAAAATAGTCCTAGGTTCACAAACATTTTTCTTTCCTCAAGAAATTTAGTTTGTTTCCCTCCAAAGTGTTGCTGTACCATACATACATTGCATTGCTATATGTTTTTATTTTTCTTAATTATTATTATTATTATTATTTTTGAGACAAGGTCTTGCTCTGTCACCTCGGCTGGAATGCAGTGGTGCAACCATGGCTTGTTATAGCCTCAACCTCCCAGGCTCAAGCGATCCTCTCACCTCAGCCTCCCAAGTAGCTGGGAACATAGGTGCACACCACCATGCCCAACTAATTTTTTTGTTTTGTTTTTGTTTTTGTTTTTTTTTATAGAGATGGGGTCTCACTATGTTGCCAGGGCTGGCTTTGAACTCCTGGGCTCAAAGCGATCCTCCTGCCTTGGCCTCCCAAGGTGCTGGGATTACAGGCATGAGCCACTACACCCTTCCTAATTTTTAAAAATCTTGAATATTCTCCACACACATACTACTTTTTGCCTCATGATATCTACTTGTTGAAGAGGGTGGGCCAATTGGTTTGTAGACTGTCTCCCCTCCTGGGTTTGTCTGATGGCATTCTCACATTTAGCTTTTATCCCTTATATTTCCTTTAAACTGGAAGTTAGATTTAAAAGCTCAATTTTGATCTAATTCGAACTGTGTGTGGTGGTTCACACCTGTCATCCCATTACTTTGGGATATGAGAGAGAAAGGAAGAACGAAGAAAGATATTTGGGAGGCTGAGGTAGGTGGATCACTTGAGCCCAGGAGTTCAAGACTAGCGTGGGCAACATGGCAAGACCCTGTCTCTACAAAAAAAAAAAAAGAAAAACAAAATTAGCCAGGCATGATAGCAGGCACCTGTAGTCCTAGCTACTGTGGAGGTTGAGGTGGGAGGATCAATTGAGTTTGCAAGGTCAAGGTGCTGGCCATGATCGCACTACTGAACTCTAGCCTGAGCGACACAGCAAGACCCTATCTCAAGAAAAGAAAAGAAAAGAAAAGAAAAGAAAAGAAGCTTGATTCACTTTAGGCTGAACTTTTTTGGCAAGAAAATCTCATAAGTGATGTTGTGTCCTTCATATTGTATCATATTAGTAGCACATCTCTGGCTATTGAGCAATGCTAAGCTTGATTATTGGGTTACAATTGTGATAACCTGATCTCTCCATCATAATTAGCCCCTTGTGACTAATAGGTAATATCTGAGGGTGATACTTGGGCACTATGTGACTATTAATTTCTTTATCAGCCTTTTATCTGATGGTGTTAATACTCATCGATGATCCTCATCTAAGTTATTTAATTAAGAGTTGCAGCATTGTTTTTGTAATTCTGCCATTCTTTCTGCATTTATTGGCTAAAGCTCTTCTGTAAAGGGGAGCTTTCTCTCAATAACTAGGGGTTTTGGTTACCCTAAATGTTAGAAAAGCAGGAGACATGTTTACTTTTTTGCTTTAATTACTCATAGTCACCTCTAGGCATGGCAGATGAGTTTTTGCATGTATTTTATCTCTTTTTTTTATTTTTTGAGACAGGGTTTCACTTTGTCACCCATTTTGGAATGCAGTGGTGCGATTTTGGCTCCCTGCAACCTCCGCCTCCCAGGCTTAAGCAATTCTCCCACTTCAACCACCCGGGTAGCTGGGACTACAGGCATGTGCTGCCACCACACCCAGCTAATTTTTAAATTTTTAGTAGAAACAGGGTCTCACAGGCCAGGCACGGTGGCTCACACCTGTAATCCCAGCACTTTGGGAGGCTGAGGCGGGCGGATCACGAGGTCAGGAGATCGAGACCATCCTGGCTAACATGGTGAAACCCCATCTCTACTAAAAATACAAAAAATTAGCCGAGTGTGGTGGTGGGCGCCTGTGGTCCTAGCTACTTGGGAGGCTGAGACAGGAGAATGGAGTCAACCCGGGAGGTGGAGCTTGCAGTGAGCCGAGATGGCGCCACTGCACTCCAGCCTGAGTGACAGAGCGAGACTCTGTCTCAAAAGAAAAGAAAAGAAACAGGGTCTCGCCGTGTTGCCTAGGCTGGTCTTGAACTCCTGAGCTCAAGCAATCCACCCACCTCAGCCTCCCATAGTGTTAGGATTACTGGTGTGAGCCACCACTCCTGGCCTGCATGTATTTTAAAAATAGATTAGCTAGGCTGGGCATGATGGCTCACGCCTGTAATCCCAGCACTTTGGGAGGCCGAGGCAGGCAGATCATAAGGTCAGGAGTTCGAGACCAGCCTGGCCAAAATGGTGAAACCCCGTCTCTACTAAAAATACAAAAATTAGCTGGGCATGGTGGCAGGCACCTGTAATCCCAGCTACTCTGGAGGGTGAGGCAGGAGAATCGCTTGAACTCGGGAGGCAGAGGTTGCAGTGAGCCGAGATCGCGCCATTGCACTCCAGCCTGGGCAACAGGGTGAGACTCCGTCTCAAAAAAAAAGAAAAGGAAAAGATTAGCTAATATTTTATTGAGGGTTTTTTGTATATGTACTAATGAATGAAATTTGCCTTTGATTTTCTTATACTATCCATGTTCATTGGTCATCATGGTTATGGTTTTAAAATAAATTGGTCAGTTTTTGCTTTTGCTATTTTGTAGAATAATTTATAAAAGATGCCTGTTTCTTAAAAGCTCATTAGATTTCCATTTTAAAACTGCCTTGATTATGACTTTTTTCTACAGAGAGTAGAGAGCAGGGGTTATTCATCATTTGGAGTGTGTGTGTGTGTGTGTGTGTGTGTGTGTGTGTGTGTGTGTGGCGGCGGGCGGGGGTGCAGTTTAGAGACAGGGTCTCAGTCTGTGGCCGAGACTGGAGTGCAGTGGTGTGATCTCAGCTCACTGTAGCTTCAGTCTCCTGGGCTCAAGTCCTCCTGCCTCAGCCTCCTAAGTAGCTGGGACTACAGGCAGGTATCACTATGCCTGGCTAGTTTAAAAAATTTTTTTTTGTATAGATGGGGTCTCGCTATGTTACCCAGGCTGGTTTCAAGCTCCTGGCCTCAAGTGATCCTCCCGCCTTGGCCTCCCTAACTGCTCAAGTTTTTTTAATGGTTATAGTCTCTTCAGATTTTCTATTTCTTCTTATGTCTGTTTTTTTCTCCCCAAAACAATAAACATTTATTATCTCTTATAGTTTCTGCTGGTCAAGAATTTGGTAGCAGCTTAGCTAGGTGGTTCTGGCTCAACTTCTCTCATTGGGTCAAAGTCAAGATTTCAGTTAGAGCTTTAGTGATCTGAAGTCTTGACTGAGGCTCGAGGACTTGCTTTCATGGTGGTTCGTTCACATGGCTGGCAAGTTGGTGTTGGTTGCTAGTGGGACAGCTGAGTTCCCATCCTCGTGGGCCACTCCACGGATCTACTTGAGTATCCTGGTAGCATGTTAGCTGGGTTCTCCCAGAGTGAGCAATCGAAGAGAAAAAGAGAGTCAGAAGAAAACTGTCCTTTTTATGACTTAGATTTGGAAGTCACAAAGCATCACCTCTGCCACATTCTGTCCATTGGAAGAGAAACACTAAGTCCAGCCCACATTCACAGAGAATTTACCCATAAATCAAAGTCACAAATTTTTGAGGGATTTTCTGAGAGATTTCAACATTTAAAAAAATCGTAGCCTTATAAGTGATGAAAGGCATTTTAATAGAGTTTTAAGCAGGATAGTGTCTTAGATGGGTCACTAAACCAAACTACTGTAGAGACTAAAGACTGGCTTGTTTAATCGTAACTATAACCAGCTTTCAATTACCCTAGTTTTTTTGTTTTTTGTTTTTTGTTTTTTTGAGACAGAGTCTTGCTGTGTCGCCCAGGCTGGAGTACAGTGGCGTGATCTTGGCTCACTGCAAGCTTCACCCCCTGGGTTCCCGCCATTCTCCTGCCTCAGCATCCAAAGTAGCTGGGACTACAGGCGCCCGCCACCACGCCCGGCTAATTTTTTGTATTTTTAGTGGAGATGGGGTTTCACCGTGTTAGCCAGGATGGTCTCAATCTCCTGACCTCGTGATCCACCCTACTCAGCCTCCCAAAGTGCTGGGATTACAGGTGTGAGCCACTGTGCCTGGCCAATTATCCTAGTTTTATAGCCTGTCTTAGGTGACTCTGATTTTTGAGAGTTGACTCTGAGAAAAGTTGGTTAAAATAAAAAATATGTCTTGATAAACCATTTGTAGCCAATAACAAACTGATTTTATCTTAATGGATTTGAACTCAAAAACAAGCTTTTTGCTGGGGTAAATATTGTAGTATTAGTATTGTATTTTTATATTCATCTTGAATGGGCATGTTTAGACTATAAACTTTAAAAGAGATCATTCCCCTGCTATTTTTCTTTTTTTTGGAGACGGAGTCTTGCTCTCTCTCCCGGGCTGGAGTGCAGTGGCACGATCTCCACCTCCCAGGTTCAAGCAATTCCCCTGCCTCAGCCACCTGAGTAGCTGGGATTACAGACATCTGCCAACAAGCCCAGCTAATTTTTGTATTTTTGGTAGAGACGGGGTTTCACCATGTTGGCCGGGCTAGTCTCGAACTCCTGACCTCAAGTGATCCACCCACCTGGTCCTCCCAAAGTGCTGGGATTATAGGTGTGAGCCACTGTGCCCAGCCCCTTGCTGTTTTTCTTTATGCCAACTTTTTTTTTGTTTGTTTATGAGTGTAGATACAAGAGAGAAAGGGAGAAGGAAGAAAGATACCATTAAACTTCATACTGTTAGTTTAATGTTATTACTAAATTAAGCCATGGAGAGATAATTTAGTTAAGTAGCTACTTTTTAAAATAAAAATGTCCCTAGTGAACATGATTGGCTATAGAAAGGTTTTGAAGAACATTTTATATATGATTTAAACTTTGTTGAGTATTTGGATTAGTTATAAGACAGTGGGGAAGGTAGCATATTTTATCTCCAGTCATTTTATAAATAGATTATTAATAAAAAATTTTTTACAGAGTATACTATCTGGCATAATTTTCAACAAAGGTTTTTCTGAGTGGGGCGGAATAGTATCTTCCTCTTGATTAAATATTAGCTTATCTGTTGTGAACTATTTGACTTCAGAGTTTTTAGCTGTCAGTAATTAAGAGTGGAGACTCAATTCTGGTCAAGATAGAACATTGTAGGGAGCAGTAAATAAATATGCTTTGAAAAACAAGCCAAATGTCATTGCTTTAATTTATTTAGCTTATGATATCTATTTGAAATTTTCAATAATGTGTAGGCATGTGAGATTGTGTTTATCAAAGCAGCATGAGCTGATTAACAGTTGAATTACCAGTTTCTCCAAATAGCTATGAACAAAGGGTTGGCTGTTCCTTCCCAGAAAAGGTTAACACTGTATTTAGATTTAAGAATTTAAGTTTCCAAGTTAGATCTACATCTTTTCCTTTCTTTGAGGTTCTTATTTCTAAATGATGTTTCCCTTTCTTGTTGGCAGATTTACCATTATAATGGAACCTGTGAAGGGTTAAAGGCTTTCTGAAGATCTCATTACCGTTAGAAAATTAGGCTAAGTGCATTTCATAATCCTTAAAACATATGCCTACAAGTCCAGTATTTATTTGTAATTTGGCCTGAAAAATACAGGATACGGATGAAGGCCATGGCTTTCAAACCTTTTTTGACAGTAAACCACAGTAAAAAATCTATTTTGTATCATGACTTAGGATGGATACTTGTTTTTCTTTTCAATATAGAATGTACTCCTTATTAAATATTTTTAAAGCATAGAAGTATAAAAACACTGGGTTTATTTTAAAAAATCAATCTATTGTTTTCCTAAAGTGGATTTTTTTTTCCTACTAAAAACAATTGGTTTAAAGAAAAAAGAGATACAGCTAATCAAACCTCTCATAACTTTTCTTTGCTGGTAGTTTTTTTTTTTTTAAACAGTCTCACTCTGTTGTTCAGGTTGGAGTACAGTGGCACAAACTGCAGCTTCTACCTCCAGGCTCAAGCAGTACTTTCACCTCAGCCTCCCAAGTAGCTTGGACTACAGGTTCACACTACCATAGCCATCTAATTTTTTTGTTTTTGTAGAAATGGGGACTCACCCATCTCTACAGGCTGAGTGTGCAGGCTGGTATCAAACTCCTGGCTTTAAGCGATCCTCCTGCCTTGACCTTCCAAGATGCTGGGATTACAGGCATGAGTCACTGTCCCTGCCTACTGGTAGATTCTTAATTATTTGGCAACTTGATGACTTTTTGTTAGAGATTCTTGAGAGCAAGGAGAATATATTACTTACATTTTTACCTCTGGTGCCATCACAGGCTAGACACCTAAATTTTTGTTCCATTATTACTAGGTCATGTCTTACCGCCTGGTAAGGGCGAATTAAAGCCATTCTGCTTTAGGACAACAACTAAATCGTATTGTTTAATTTAATTATTTTTTGAGACAGGGCCTCACTCTGTTACCCAGGCTGGAATACAGTGGTGCAACCATGGCTCACTGCAGCCTTGACCTCCTGGGCTCAAACAATCCTCCCGCCTCAGCCTCCTGAGTAGCTGGGACTACAGCCATGCGCCACCATGCCCAGCTGATTTTTTGTAGAGACAGAGTCTTGTTATGCTGGCCAGGCTTGTCTCAAATTTCTAGGATCAAGGAATCCTTTTGCCTCAGTCCCCCAAAGTGCTGAGATTATAGGCATGACACATCACACCCGAGCTAAAATGTTATTTTCACTTATTAATTTCTTTTTTTTAATGTAATGCTCTAAATCACATTGACAAGGAGAATAAAGGAAATGAAACTCTTACGAGAGATTAGTAGAGGATATTTAAACCTCATTATGAAGAGAAAGAGCAAGGGGAAGGAAGAAATTAATATTTCAGAGAGTTAAGGTTTAAAGTAACATCTTTCAGAAGGTCAAAAAAAAGTAAGGTATGAAAAATAGGTAGTTATTTAAATTTTAATATTCCGGGCTAAGAACACTTGTGTCCAGAAGGGGGCATTATTGTAACGTGGACTGTGTTTGAGTACTGAGTATCATTGATGACCTTAGAAGAGACTTCACAACTTTGGGTTCCACGCATCCCAAAAGCTCACTCCTTCCATTTCACAGTCTTCTACCAACACTCCCATTCCCTACATTCACCTTCCTTAGCTTTCTACCTTTTCCAGGTCTTTCTTCCTGATAAAAACCCCTTCTTGCCAGAGGCTTTCTTCTACTTGAAAAATAATTCAGCTATGTGCCATCCTTTGCCCTTGAGACTTCTGTGTAGTTCTGAGTGGTTGACCCAGACTTAATGCTAATTCTAAATCTAGGTGCATTCCCAGGTCCTTTGTGGTCTAAAAATATTCTAGTTGTTTCTTCACAGGCCAGAAGCCAGCAGTGTTAATTTTATATCCTTGGAAGGACAAGGTCTAAGCTGGTAGGAAAGGCTTTCTTGATTGCCTTTTTGTCCTGGATAGTTAAAGAAGTACAGTCTTTCTCACATTACCTACATGATCAGTGACTGCCATGGTTTAGCTTTTTTTTTTTTTCTTTTTTTTTTTCTTCTGTGACAGTTGTCAAAGAAGAGAATAGGTATCTGTGCTCTAAACTTCTAAGAAGCTGAAATTCATTAACATATTCACCTATGTTTATATTAATTCCTTTACTTTATACCATTTAAAACCTGTTTTAGGCTGTTTATGTGCAGAACTGTGGAGTAAAGGTAATCTGATTGAATCACTGTTCTTACTAAGCAGATCATATCTCAGATACTTGGCAAAAATTAATTAGTAATGGTTTATGTTATTTTCAAGGCTGATTAGACTTACAAACTGTCTTTAAAAATGAATTCCAGAAGTGAGTCTTTTCTTACATTTGAGAACCTGTGAGTTGATTAGTGTTTCTGTTTTGTTTTGGCCTCCTGAATGCATGCATTCATTTGTTCTCAGGGGTTTATTGAAGTCTGGGAATATAGTGGTATTTGCCTTCTTGCATAATTCTAGTATTCTTTGATTTTTCTAGATTAATTGGATTAAAATGTAGCAGTTACCAAATAACACTATCATTCCCCTTTTTAAAAATTAATATTCCTCCTTTTGTAATGATAGTAATTTTTTTCTAGGATTGTCCCTTCTGTGGTATACATTATTTATTATTGCAAAATGTAGCTGTGGCTCAGATAATAGCTAAGAGTCCTTTATAGAGTCTTTTCCATCATTTGGCTTGAACCTATATTTGGGAGAAAGAAGATAGTTCTGGGATGGAGATATTTATATAATTACAAATGTGAAGTCACTGTGATTTATTTTGGCTTTGGCTAAGAAACTGTGATAATATGGTAGCATCACCCTTTTATTTTTTATTTCTGAAACTTTTATTTCAGAACTGGCTGTTAATGTATCTGTTTATCTGTGTAATTAGTATTTAGCCTGTTTCTGTAAAGAATTTTGATTAACATTTTTTAAAAATGTAGTCTTTAACCAAGTAAAATACTGTTGAACTTGTTCAGTGGAGTCATTGATACTTGAAATCATCAGAAAGGGGGAAAAGCATGTTAAACTGAAAAAGAATTCTGTAGTTCATCACAAATAGATTGATGGGAATTTTACTAATTTTCCTCCAACCTCTGATATGTACACTTGGAAAAATTGTTTTTCTGAGTATGAAATTAGGTATGTAATTTAAAGCATACAAAATTTCTTCTTTAAAAATCTTGAAAACATTGTGGTGCCTCACTATAATTTAATAAACATTTATTTGTGTTTACAGCACAGTAGGCAAACAACTGTTAAGTATTACTCTAGTCCTATATCAGTTGGGACTTAGACTAGGGGAAGCCTCACAGTGAAAGATGGACAAAAAATGAAGAAATGTAACCTAAGATAAATTAAGGGACATTAATATTCTTCTACTTTAGATGAAAATCATTTTTAGGTACTTTGAATTATACATACAGCACCTAGCACAGTGCCACCTACATGTAAACTATAGGAAGCTATCTGGTCTTATAGTTGTTTCTGACACATTTAATCACAATATTAGAAACATTGATGAAGTTTTTATAGTCCTTTGAAATTTAAGCAGTTAGCCACTGTATCTTAGGAAAGAAATATTCTAGTTGTGATTTTTTTTTCTTATAATCTTATTGGTGTCAATTAGAATTTACCATTGAAAAAATAAGGATGATCAGTTTTATACTTATGTTTAAGATGTGAGCCATCATAATATATTATACATTTTGATAGATTACCAAGCCCACTGTTTTTACTGCAGCGTGTATAAACATTTAGACATAATTTTAAGGTTCAATGAATGTGACTATCCTAAAAAACACAGACTTTTAATTAAATACTTATTTCTTTAGTTCCTATATAACTAGGAACTTGCCTTCTTTTCAGTAGACTGTTAAAAGAAGGGCTTTCAGCTCAACATAAACTGTATTAGTCACTTAATATCATACACTGAAAAATTATTTTGAAAAGATACTTGGGATTGGGGACATTTATGATAAAATTTAACCAGAAGATGGCAGTGATGATCCTCCTATACTCCCTGCAACGGTAATCAAAAAGTTTTACAAATGTCATAGCATGAAATGTGCACGTTCAGCTGTTGTTATATAATGTTAAAAGTTGAGGATCTAGGG
This sequence comes from Homo sapiens, assembly GCF_000001405.40. NCBI lineage: Eukaryota > Metazoa > Chordata > Mammalia > Primates > Hominidae > Homo > Homo sapiens. The sequence goes on from NW_025791761.1 coordinate 136,615, forward strand.
GAAAGCACTTGCTGTTTATTTTATATACTATGAAAAATGTGTATTTTTCTATAAGAAGGGATTAAGAATATTTTGGGTGTCTGTATCTTTGTCTGTACACTTCAGTTTTTTCTGAATACTGGGGTAAGGAAGTTCCCATAAGTCTTGCCTTGTTTATTTGCATGCATCACTTTATGTTATGCATAATGTCTAGAAGGCATGCTGTTTTATTGCCTGTTTGCATTTTTCACCCAAATTGCTGGAAACTAATGAACATTTTAAAGGAGCCATTCCTTTAGCTGCAGTCATTTCTCTAAATTGATATCTTTTTTTGGGGGGGAGGCAGTGAAATCATTTTAAACATTACTTTTTGAAAGAAAAAATTATTAGACAAAAGTTAATATTTTAAAATAAATCTTGAGAAACTAGAGATTAAATAACTTAATGAAACATATTTCAGAGTTGAATTTTGGCAGCAATTGTAAATAATATTTATAATCTGGTGATATTAAAAGTGAAAAGTTACAAGGGGGAGAAGGAATGCTCTCCTTTGAAAATTAGTGGCCACATTTGGTGATGGATGAGATGAAGATGCATCCTTCCATAATCTTGCCTTTTTAAAAAAATTATAAAGCTCAAATGCATTTTGCCAGAAAAATTGCATGAATCTTCAGCATGCATTGTTAACTTTTTGTCTTTTCCCCTTTCTTTCTGCTGTTCATTTTCATTCATATATTTTTGATTTTTGGTTTGCCATTGTTTTTTTCTTTTTTGTTAATTACTTCATTAAATTATTTTTGAAACGTCATAAGCTGAGCAACCTCTCCGTGTAGTAACAGCGGATACCTGTCTATTTCACTATTTAGTCCCTCCTCCTATGTCTCCATCCTCCAAATCTGTGAGCACTCCAAGTGAAGCTGGAAGCCAAGACTCTGGAGATGGCGCCGTGGGATCTAGGTACAGTAATTTTCCTTTTAATGTTTTAATGATAGAATGCATTCAGTGCCCAAATACTGTTGATACTTTAAAGGGACTCTAAATAGTTGTGTCGAGTTAGTCCTAACATTTTAAAATCTAAAATGGCATAGAAATTCTCTGTTGGACACTGGGAGAAAAAAAAGGTTTCTTTGTTTTTTTTTAATAATATTTTAACTGTCACATTTAATTAACTTAGTACTAAATAGTCAACCGGTTTTATGCTAATTATTTTATATTAAAAATAGAGATATTAATGCTTTTAGATTTTTCTGTTTAAACTTTTTGTTGGTTATTACGTGAATGTTTTGGGTGTAAATAGTGTAAAACCTCTCTCTTGTGCTTGATTCCCCATTCAGTAATTGAAAATGTAAACAATTCTGTTAAACAGTTCAATTCTGTTCTATTAAGTCATTAGTTCTGCTAATTAAGATAGAGAATAATAATGCATAAAATGTCAAGAGTAAGGAATAACTGCTAAGGACAACATTGAGAATGTTTACTGTCAAGCATTCCTGAACTTGCATCTTCCTTGTAAAATTACATTTCGTGTTTGTTTTAGGATCCTGCATACATGTTGGGACTTGCTTTTCAAAAGTTCAGTAAGATTTCAGCTTTCTTTCAAAGATCATATTGGGAAAAGTATTACTACTTATTCCTCTTTGTCTCTCTCACACACACACACACACACACACACAAAATAGTGAGTATTAAATGTACTTTTTGACTTCTGAAATGAAATTAAACATAGGTAGTCAAAATCCACAGCTGATTAAGAATGCTTATTTTGGGCCAGGAAGTTGCATGTCCTCACCAAGAAAATCTCTTAACACACCTTTTAATAAGACATAAGCTGTTAGAAGTTTTAAGCTTTTTATGCCTGAGTCCCTCTAGTTGAAGTTACAAACCAGTAATAAATATCTAAAAGACAGGGCAAGAAAAAAAAAGCAAGGTGGCTGGATGATCTGTAAACTCAATACTTCAATCAGCTCTTGAATAATCAGGTTATCATTAACAATTAAAAGGCACATAAAGCTTGCCAGCTTGAATTTGAGAAGTGCTTTCCAAATAGAACCAAAATCACAAATCTAAGCTATACTATCTTTGGAGGAAAATGACATAACTCTTTCATTTAAGGAAAATCAAAATTTTCTTTTTAGAAATAATGTTATTACCTTATAAAATAGTATGCATTACAGAATAAAGACAATTTGTCTAGTGTAAATTCATTTTTATAGGGTTAAAATTTTTTTTCATATTTTGTGCTTCTATATTTTTATACAAATATGTCATTATTCCTTTATTTTTTATTTTTTTTGCAGACAGGGTCTCTGTCACCCAGACTGGAGGGCAGTGGCGCAATCTTGGCTCACTGCAACCTCTGCCTCCTGGGCTCAAACGATCCTCCCACATCAGCCTCCCGAGTAGCTGGGACTGCAGGCACGCACCATCATGCCTGGCTAATTTTTGTATTTTTTATAGAGACAGGGTTTTGCCATATTGCCCAGGCTGGACTCGAATTCCCAGACTCAAGTGATCCACCCACCTTGGCCTCCGAACGTGCTGGGATTATAGGCATGAGCCACTGCACCCAGCCACTATTCCTTTAGACAATTAATAATCAACTGGCATTTTTAAGTGAAAGCGTTTTTTTTTCCCTTCTACAACATTACCATAGTAAAAATGTTTCCCAAGATTAAAAATTACTATATTTATTAAATGTCTTTATTTGATATTATACATTATTTTTATGTAGATACTATACTGTGTACATTATGACTCATCGTTCCTGATTTTGAATAGTAGATTATTTTAATTCAGTGTCAGCAAGTTTGCTTTCAAAAGTACTTTGACACTTAAGTTTTTTAAATTAATGTGAATTAAAACATGTCCCCATGAGTTTTATGGACAACCCAGAGATTATTAGAGACCTTTTAGAATATTGTAAATTAATACAGGGAGTAATAATGGTAAGAAAAATATTTATTCATGTATAGAACAAATATTAAGTTACCAACTTTATTAAAATACTATGGTTTACCACAGAAGATAAAACATTCATGGTCCTTGCTTTCATAGAATTTACATTGTAGTGATTACATCATTAATTTAAAGATACTGTTGACTTTATTGGAAAGCCCTAAGGGTAGTGTGCTATGTTTAGTGTGAAGCATAGTTTTTTTAATGATAAATTGTAAAACACAAAAACAAATAGTTAATATTTTTTAAAGTATTTGTTCTTGTTAGATAATGAATACAAAATTGGTTTCTTGTGAGTTTAACGGAGAGAAAAATCCTCTTTTTGAGTGAGGTGACCTTACATCTTTCTTTTTTTCTTTGAGATGGCATTTCCTTCTTGTTGCCCAGGCTGGAGTGCAGTGGCACGATCTTGGCTCACTGCAACCTCCACCTCCCACGTTCAAGCGATTCTCCTGCCTCAGCCTCCCAAGTAACTGGGATTACAAGCATGCACAACCGCGCCCAGCTAATTTTGTATTTTTAGTAAAGACAGGGTTTCACCATGTTGGCCAGGCTGGTCTCGAACTCCTGACCTCAGGTGATCCACCCACCTCAGCCTCCCAAAGTGCTGGGGTAGCAGGCTTGAGCCACCGCACCCAGCCACATCTTTTTAACCTTAATATGTACGTTGTCTCCTTTGAGAGCACAGACTCACTTGGAAACATTAATTTTCAAGAGGGCTGAGTATATTCATTTTTATGTATATATACACACACACACACACACACACACACACACACACACACACACAGAGTAATAGAAAATGATGAATTCTACTAAATCATATCCAGCTTTCATAGAGGTAATTAATATTGTGATGGTGATATTGGCAGTGAAATAATGCATTTCTAAATATGTGACATTTAAAAAGAGTGCCCAGGTCTCAGAATGAAACCTAATGAACTCATATTGAGCAAACACGATGTTAATGTAAGAATAAAGACAATTAGAAGAAATATAATAGGAAAATACATGAAGACATGTGAGATGTGTGCATGCACCTGTACGTGCAACTTCAGTTGGCTAAGATGGTCTAAGATTAATACACTCAGGGAGTAGGAATAGATAAGACATTATAAAATATGCTGTCTAAACATGTTTGAATCACTCTAAGTGCCAAGAATTTCTTTTGGGACTGGTGGTAATTTATGAATAAATATAAAAGGTCGTGAGAAATAATCTCTCTCTAACTTTGCAGATTAGGAAGCTGCATTACATTTGTTATCTCAAAAATTTAGGAACAATTATTCAGTGGGGTAATCCAGGCCTCTTGTTCCTTTTTTCCTTTTTTTTTTTTTTCTTTTTTGAGTCAGAGTCTTGCTCTGTTGTCCGGGCTGGGGTGCAATGGCGTGATCTCGGCTCACTTCAATCTCTGCCTCCTGGGTTCAAGCAACTCTCCTGCCTCAGTCTCCCCAGTAGCTGGGATTGCAGGTGTGTGTCACCATACCCAGCTACTTTTTTTTTTTTTAATGCTTTTAAGTTCTAGGGTACATGTGCACAATGTGCAGGTTTGTTACATATGTATACTTGTGCCATGTTGGTGTGCTGCACTCATTAACTCATCATTTACATTAGGTATGTCTCCTAATGCTATCCCTCCCCCCTCCCCTCACCCCACGACAGGCCCCGGTATGTGATGTTCTCCTTCCTATGTCCAAGTGTTCTCATTGTTCAATTCCCACCTGTGAGTGAGAACATGCGGTGTTTGGTTTTTTGTCCTTGTGATAGTTTGCTGAGAATGATGGTTTCCAGCTACTTTTTGATTTTTAGTAGAGATGGGGTTTCATCGCGTTGGCCAGGCTGGTCTCGAACTCCTGACCTCAAGTGATCTGCCCACCTCGGCCTCCCAAAGTGCCAGGATGACCGGTGTGAGCCACCGTGCCTGGCCCATTTTTCCATTTTTGATCAGTTTACTTCTCAAGCTTTGTACTTGGAATTGTACTCTATGTGCCTGAAGATGCCCCTAATAAATGTAATAATGTACAGGTATGTCCAGTGCATTTTCAGTACTGGCTGTATTTTGAGGTACAGTGTTACTTGATTTTAGACTAAAATGACATCCTCAACAAGGAATTTTATGTCATTGATAACAGAGCTCTTACATAATGTAAATGACAGAACATTCCTTGGAGACCATCTCATAGAACTTTTGATTTAACAAAGCCTAAGCTTGTTGCTATTCATTGCTTAGTACAAAGTAGATCTTCACTGTGGCTGCTTCTTACATTGCATACACATAACCTTGTTTAAATTCCAAGATCTTTCTTTATATTTTTTAAATGAAGGATTTCTCTAGATTAATTCATTACTATTTTTCTTGATAAATTATATAGGCAGGTAGAGAAACCATTTGTTGTATTAAAACATTGTAGCAACTAAAACTAGTTATAAATTATAATGTCTTACATAAGTGAAAAATATATTTGACAAAAATGGTAATACTAAATGTATTGTGCTTAACTTTATTTAGTGGGGACTATGAGCATTATACAGTACCATACATAATTATCTTATATATTGCTAACCTATATAAATGCCAGTATGATAAAGCACCTTTTGTTCTATTAGTAACTAAGTTTGGCTTAAGTGGAAAAGATCCTCTGTAAGTTACTTAGCCAGCAGGCGATGCTAAAACTTATAACTCAATATTTAGGATTGACATTTGAACATAAAATATTTTTCCAGGGAAAAATCTATTTTTTTCCTAGAGACAGAAATCTTTAGTTGTTTTCTTTAAGCAGATGATACGTAAGCCCAAGGCGGTGCTTAACCCATAAATTACAGAAGGGTCACATTTTGGAAACTTTAGCTATTTTGTATCCCAGTGGGATAGTCTTTGGTTTTATTACCAAAAGGCTTATGTGTTGACTCATTTCCTTTACCAGTATGACAATTTCCTGCACACATGTAATGCTTTGGGGAAGATTAGAATATGTTAACCAAGATGTTTTAATGTGTTTGTTTTCATTAGGAATCTTAAAATTTCAACCATTTTATAGCCTAGCTTGTTATCCATAAATAATTAACTTGGGTTGTCTGACTTTAGTTGTTCTAAAGCAGATCTATTATTATACAATATTAGTTTCCCATAATCTGCAAATAATGTCTTTTAACTATTCTGGGTTGTATGCTTGCATCTTTAACCATAGGAAGCCTATTGCATGCACTAGATGATTGAGTGACCTGGTGGATTTCTTGTTTTGTTTTCGATTTTTTTTTTTTAATACTAACCAGAACATGTGTTTTTTAATTGTGAATAGTACTTTAGCTTTAGCTATTCATAGAATGTATTTGCTTGACTAACTTATGGCCTTTTTTGCTAATGCTTCATGGTTGTCCTACAACCATTTAGGACGCTGCATTGGGATACAGATCCATCAGTTCTTCAGCTTCACTCAGATTCCGATTTGGGGTATTGAATAGATTTTTTACCTTCCCTGTTTTATAATGAATTTGATTCTTTGTGAAACTGTCCTAATTTTATTTTGCTTAAGTTTATAATATTGTATCACGTAGTAAGGACAAGAGTTATATTTTACTGTGACACCTCATTTATCCAGTATCTTTAGTGAAAGAATATTCTGTGTGATGTTCTATGTACCCTGAGTCCATTTAAGTGTCCAAATGTTTAAAATTATTTCTATGTTTTTAATACAAGTTTTGTAGGATGTATTAAAAAACTTCTCAGACTTCTTCTAATATTCTACATGTAATTGAACCTTTTCAGGGTTACTTGATATGAATATTAATTTATTTTTCTGTATTAAAATTCACTGATGATTTCTAAGATTTTGAGAATAATGGAGATGCTGGTCCTTACACTGTTCATTCATTCATTACTATTTATTCATGAATCTAGAATAAAACTATTCATGAATCTAGAATAAATAAATGAGTGAATGAATGGATTAATAGATTATTCATAGAATGTATGGATGAATATTCTTAATATAATTGTCATTGAGCCCCTAGGTTAAATAAATAGGTTCTTTTCTTTCTTCCTTTTATTTTTGTTTTGTTTTTTGCTTTTTTTTTTGGCATATTTTCTTAGTGAAACGTTAGAAAACTAATGCTTTATAGTTTCTGTATGTCTCTTTTTTAGAGTTTTAAAACTTGTTCTTTTAGAAGTTAGTGTTGTAAGCTGTATGTATGGTTTTTTAATTTTGTTGACATAGAGATAAGATTATCCATCCATTCATTCATTCAGTTATTTATTCTAGATTCTAATGCAAATTATAAATGTTTGCTGCTGCCATTTTGCCTGACTCAGATAGCCCTTTTCCCCTGATAATTTACAGCTTCAAAAACATATGAATATACCTTTTGGAATTGTGTCTAAAGTAAGGTAAATAAGCCTTGATTTGAGGCATGTAAGAAAAATATATGAGTTTCTTGTACTTGAACTGGAAGCCCTCTGTAGTGGCCACACTGAGGCTTCCCCCTCCTGCCTCCCATTGCTTCCTTATTTTCAGTAAAAGTGGCTTTTGGATAAGTGAGGTATTACTTCCCTACCCACCTCCTCCTATAAAATCTTGGAATATTTCGTTTGTTTAGTATTATGGTTTTTTCTGTTAGACTCTGTATGCATTCAAGTTGGTAATTGATTCCTAATATTGTTGGCTTGACGATTTTTTTCCAGCTATGTGAGTGATTTACTTTTTATATAATTTGCATCTTAAAAATCAGAATATAAAGTTTCTTATTTCAAATTTTATTCTTAGACTTCTAGATTACTTCAGATTACTTAAATTGTCCACTTAATTCTTTGACTATACTTTTTTTTTCCCTTTCTTTTTTATTTCTAAACTAGAAAAGACATTAAAAAATTGTTATGGCCCACATTTTGGAACATTAATTTTTAAAATGTACTAATTTTATTATACTTTATAGTACTTTGTTATGCTTTATTAGATTGTATAGGACTTGGATTTAGTTACTAAATAGAACTGAAAAGAATATTTATATAAGAAAAAAGTTATATTACCAGCGATAGCCTGCTTTATATTCTGAAAGTTGCAGCAGTGTCTTTATTGTATATCCTTTTAAGGCAGCTTCATCACTGAGAACTTTTTTGGGAGTCTGGAAGCGTACTTTATTTGGTTTAGGATTTAAACATCTAATAAAACCAATAAAAGATCTCCCAGATAGCTAATAAAATATATTTTTCTTTTGGTTCATTTTCCTCAGCCACAGCTCTCTTCCATTGTCAAAAAAGAATGTATACCCTGTATTTCTAAACAGAAGTGACTTTAGTAGATTTATGGTATTCAAAAGATCTGTCACTTTAGTCTAAGTGTAGAATATCTGGACCTTAGTTTCTCCATAATGTGAATCAAGGACAGTATTGATCATGCAGAGATTAGAGATTTAAAAGTTTTAAATATTTCATTTTAAAGTCCAAATTGATAGTGTAATTCTCAATTTCTGCCAAATATAAGTAGAAAAAAAGCTTTCAACAGAAACCTGTTTTTCAGTCGTAAAGCTGAATTCTCCTAGTGGCACAATCAGCTAAATGTGGTCTGAGTGATATCTAGTCTGATTCTTAAAAAAAAGTCCAGAAAGAACCATATCCCAGCTGAAACCAGTTCTTACGACAACCTTATTCAGTGGTCCACTCTGAAGTTCCTATTCTCTTACTTCATTATTGCCCGCACATTTGTTCTAAAAAAATGAAATTACTTGCCTTTTTAAAATGAAAATAAAAACACTGAATGATTCAGAAATATCTTTTGCTTTTGCTACCTTCTCATTCTTTTGCTAAAATAAAGCCAATTTATTGTTAATCTAAAATTTCTTGAATAAAATGGATTGAAATTACAATGTTGGGTGCAAATGACTGTTTAATTCTTAATTTTTGAAAATAACATGGTTTGATGTAGTTAAAATTGTGTTGTTTGTATTTACTTAATTTAGACGAGGACCTATTAAACTTGGAATGGCTAAAATCACGCAAGTCGACTTTCCTCCTCGAGAAATTGTCACGTATACAAAGGAAACTCAGACTCCAGTTATGGCTCAACCCAAAGAAGGTGAATATCTATCCTTAGTATAATTGTCATTGAGCACCTATGTTAAATACATAGATTCTTTTTTTCTTCCTTTGATTTTTGTTTTGTTTCTTTTTTGCTTTTGTGTTTTGGCATGTTTTCTTAGGGAAACATGAGAAAACTAATGCTTTACAGTTTCTGTATTTATGTCTTCATTTTTTCGAGTTTTAAAACTTATTAGAAGTTAACGTTGTAAGCTGTATGTGTGGTTTCTTAATTTTGTTGACATAAATTTAAGTCTTTCAGCCCTTATTTTGTCATTAATGTATACTGCTTTTAGAAGCCAAAAAGCTTAAGAATTTTCTGTTTCTGTCATTGAGCATAATTCTTCCCCAAAAGAGAGTGGGTCCCATAGTAAACAAAGTCATGTAAATTATTTCTGAAAAGCATACTGTACCCTGATGTTATTCATACTAATGAACAAATCTAGACTTAATTCTTAAATTTTCTCTTTTATGATATAGGGGCTCTATTTTGTTGATTAGTTAGTAGCCTGTAATTTGTGTATAGTATGGGGACGTATGCACAGACCTATTGAATGTGGAGACCCTTTGGTTCTTAAACCAGAAAGCATTACAAATAGCTAACGATTCAAGCATAAAGTACTACGATCTCATTTTCCCAGTGAGGCTAATGAATTTATATCATACAAAAAAAAAAGATTTATGTGAGATCCCTAATACACTTCACAGTGTCTTTTCTGAAGCTTTTGGGGCCATATATATATTAGAATTCCAAGTTTTTCAGATTATGTAAAAGTAATAAAATATATGTATTATATGTTAACACTCTAGTAGTATTTTGGGCATTAATATTTTGGCAGCAAAACATATGAACATACTAAGTGAGATAAGTAATGATTATAAATAGCTTTACCTCTGACTTTACCATGTCAGAGTTTACCACCAAATGAGTTATGGATTTTAGAGCTGTTAACAATTTTGGAATAGAAATTTTATCAGATGTTTAAATTAATGTATTTTTAAATTTTTAATTAAATTACCATGTTTCTCCATTAAGGAAAAACAAAAGTTATATTCATTGCAGAAAGCCAGGAAATACAGGTAAGCAAAAGTGAGGAGAAATCCTTGAAATCCCTGTCTACTACCAAAGAAAATCTTTAAATTTTCATATTTGCCTAAACCTAAAAAAAAGTTAGGATTGTGGCCGGACGTGGTGGCTCACACCCGTACTAGCACTTTGGGAGACCAAGGCAGGTGGATTGCTTAAGATTAGGAGTTCAAGACCAGCCTGACCAACATGGTGAAACCTTGTCTCTACTAAAACTACAAAAATTAGCCGAGCGTGGTGGTGGGTGCCTGTAATCCCAACTACTCTGGAGGCTGAGGCAGAAGAATTGCTTGAACCCGGGAGGCAGAGGTTACAGTGAGCCAAAATTGCGCCACTGCACTCCAGCCTGAGCGACAGAGCAAGACTCCGTTTAAAAAAAAAAAAAGAAAATTAGGATTGTAACTATTTACAACCTTTTGACTTAATAGTAGATCATCACAGACACTTTTAACTACTCTCCTTTTGCTGCCCTCTGAGGATGGAAATGAAATAAATACATTAAACTTTTCCTTTCAGTCTTCTCAAAAGGAGGCAACATTATGATACACATATAATTACACTTTCAAAATTTTGAGGAAATTGGTATAACATTTTTGTTCAAGTATTTTCTTTTTTTTTTTTTTTTTTTGAGATGGAGTCTTGCTCTGACACCCAGGCTGGAGTGCAGTGGCGCCATCTTGGCTCAGTTCTCCCACCTCAGCTTCCTGAGTAGCTGGGATTACAGGCGCCTGCCACCACGCCCGGCTAATTTTTTGTATTTTTAGTAGAGATAGGGTTTCACCATGTTGGCCAGGCTGGTCTCGAACTCTTGACCTCAGGTGATCCACCCACCTCGGCCTCCCAAAGTGCTGGGATTACAGGTGTGAGCTACTGTGCCCGGCCATGTCCAAGTACTTTTTACTTGACCATGTAGATGTTCTGTATGTTCATTTTTTTCATTCCTGCTGTTCCATTGGTTGGTAAGATATCTTTTGTAGATGCAAGATCCTCATCCTAACAGAAGAAACACACTGATGGTAAACTTGCTTGAGACACAAGCAACTTTTTTTAAAAAGAAAGAAAGTATGGAGCTTTCAGTATGAGAATACTAATACTGCAGGATTCTGTAATTTCTAGAAAATATTATTTTGTTAACTAGTATATTAATTTGGTGAGTATTATTATGTCTGCCTTTTAGGAGCTACGTTAGTAGATATGTTAACTCAGAAAGTGACCAGAATAACCAAAACGAAGGCACAGTGACTCATTTAAAAAAATAAATTAGGCCTTTTTCTTCATCTGATAATTTGGAGATTGTATTTTTAGTTACACTACCATACTTACTGGTACAATGCATCTTGGATTTTTTCAAATATAAAGTATTCTGAAACTATTTTGAGTAATGCCTATTATATCTATAGTTATATCCAGTTTAAGTGAAGACTTTCTTTTTTTTTTTTTTTTTGACAGAGTCTCTCTTTGTTGCCCAGGCTGGAGTGCAGTGGTGCCATCGTAGCTCACTGCAACCTCCACCTCCCAGGTTCAAGTGATTCTCCTGCCTCAGCCTCCTGAGTAGCAGTGACTACAGGCGTGCGCCACCACTGCCAGCTAATCTTTGTATTTTTGGTAGACTTGGGGGTCTCGCCATGTTGGCCACGCTGGTCTCAAACTCCTAGCCTTAAGTGATCTGCCCGCCTTGGCCTCCCATAGTGCTGGGATTACAGGCATGAGCCACCACATCCAGCCAAGATTTTCATTTTTTTCAACTATTTTCATTTTTTAAAAATAGTTTTTTCTAATTACTATAGTGGTATATCATAGAGAATTTAGAAGTACAGAAAGGATATAGAGAGGAAATGTTTTTGATACTGCTGTGTACAACCCATTGTTAATATTTTGGTTCCAATGAATATGTCTCCAAACTTCTTTTTTTTTTCTTTGAGACAGAGTCTCGCTCTGTGGCCCAGGCTGGAGTGCAGTGGCACGATCTTGGCTCACTGCAAGCTCCATCTCCCGGGTTCACACCATTCTCCTGCCTCAGCCTCCCGAGTAGCTGGGACTACAGGCACCCGCCACCACGCCCGGCTAATTTTTTGTATTTTTAGTAGAGACGGGATTTCACCATGTTAGCCAGGATGGTCTCGATCTCCTGACCTCGTTATCCGCCCGCCTGTGCCTCCCAAAGTGCTGGGATTACAGGTGTGAGCCACTGCCCCGGCCGTCTCCAAACTTCTTATTTAAATTGATGACTAAAAATTATAACACCAAGAAGTGCCTACCACTTATCAGGCATAGTGTGAGACACTTTACATCATCTGTAATGCTGTCACCAAAACCCTGAAAGTTAGGTATTGGTTTTGTTTACACACAAAGAAGCTGAAACTGAAAGAGGTAGTTTATCGAGCATCACAGAGCTAGTAGCTATGATTGTAAACCAAATATGACTGATTCTACGATGTGCTTTCTCTTGCCACTGAAGTAGCAACTCATGTTTTTATGAGTTGTTTTATGAGTAACCTATAGTAAGTAGTTTAGTTAATATTGTCTAGCACTGATTCTACAAGCTTATTGAGTATTTGCTCTATGTAAAGGCACTAGATTATCCTTTCTTTGGATTTGTTGTCCTTTTAGTTACAGGTTGAGGTATATAAGTGAAGGAGAAGGGAAAAAAAAGCATCCTGATACCATGGAGCTATCCTTAACCCTTTGGAAATATTTATAAAAATGAGATATTTGGGCAGTATCCTTTGGGGGAAAAAATGAGATAATTTGTTTTCTATATCATTACAGTTATTTTCATGTCTGGAGCTCTTACATTAAGTTTCTTTTCCCAAAGTGTATAAGTTTTAGAAAGAAGGAAAGAGAAAAACCTTGAAATTAAGGTTTTATAATGGAAACACTGTGCGCTTAACTGTTCTTGTGCTTACCCATCACGTTAATACAGTGGTTCTCAAACTTTGCCTGGTTGGTTCCCATTTAAGAATTATGTAATGAATTCCAGAACTCACCATGAAACAAAATTGGTGAAATCACAGTTGGAGTGTAACAGACAGCAAATTAAACTTCTGTAGGCAGTAAAATCCATGCCTACAGAAATCCGTGACTTACCAAATTGAAGGTAAAAATTGGTCGTAGACTTAACTCTTACCTTTCTTTTGTATTCTTTTTTTAAATAAAAATGGCCAAGCCTATTCCTTTAAAAAAGCAGTTTTTATTCTGCCTTGTTTTTTCTTTTTCACTCTTCTGGCCACCTTCTTGCTTTCCAGTTTACTCTGTAAGTTGGTAGTACTGTTTCTGAACTGTGGTGCTTTGCTGTCTTAAAGCGCCTACTGTGAATGAAATTGACTAGCACCACGTGACTTCAGTCGATTTTCTTCTCAGCAGGTGAAAAGCTTCTCTTGGCAAGAATGTGGTGCCCACAGATACACTCCTGGAAAAGTTACTTTCTTTACCTTTTTAAAAGTTTTAACTCTTTTGAAAAAATGGCATTATTTTTTCTTATTCACTTCTTCTGTATGGATTTTTTTTTTTTTTTGGCTATTTTTTGAAAGATTATTAAAGGAAAAAGAAATCCTGAAGGTTACCTAATCTAATCAGCTTGTTTACTCTGAGGAAACTGAGGTTCAAGGAGATTACTTGGTGAGTCTAAGTCCACCGTCTGAGAGAATATCGGGCATACATCCAGAAACTGGCACTTGATTTCTAGTGAAGTACCATTTTTCTTATTCCATTCCACTTTCTTATCTGTGAAGGAGTTTATAATTACTGTTGGTATTGGCTTAGTAGCCAGATATGTTTTCTTCAATACCTGTTGATTAGCTTTATTGTGTGTAGAATATTAATATATGTGATTATCTTGTAATCACTTATTGCATGATCTTAACATTTGGAATTCACTCCCAGAAGACCAAATTTGTATGCCTTCTGGTTAATACATCTACCTTATCTAAAATGGATTTTTCTGTAATCCTAGCACTTTGGGAGGCCGAGGTGGGGCAGATCACCAGAGGTCAGAAGTTTGAGACCAGCTTGGCCAACATGGTGAAACCCCATCTGTACTGAAAATACAAAAATTAGCCAGGTGTGTTGTCACATACTTGTAATCCCAACTACTTGGGAGGCTGAGGCAGAATTGCTTGAACCCAGGAGGCAGAGGTTGCATTGAGCCACGATTGTGCCATTGCACTCAAGCCAGGGCGACAGAGTGAGACTATGTCTCAAATAAATTAATTAAATAAAATGGATTTTTAAAAGATTTTGGAATGAATAACACATTTAATAAATTAGTTTTAACCCTCAGAGGACCTATAAGAATATAAACAAAATTGAAAATTGAAGCATTTGTTCTTAATCTTGATTGAAAGACTAATCAGCATATCTGAAACCCTGGCCTCAGAAAAATATAATATTTGATGAAATCACAGATAACAAGACCTATGTAAGGGTGCTAATACTGCGAAAATAAAACCCAAATTTTATATAAAAAGGACTGTGACTGGTCAAGGTGGTGTGCACCTGTAGTCCCAGGTACTCAGGAGGCTGAGACAGGAGGATCACTAGAGCCCAGGAGTTTGAGGCCAGCCTAGGCACATAGCAAGACCCCATCTCTTAAAAAAAAAAAAAAAAAAAAAAAAAAGAACTACAGAGAGACAAATTTTGTGTTAAAGGAAGTGGTATAATTAAACTATTAGTCTTTTCTTATTTTCCCCCCAAGTTAGCATTACATCTGTATTGAAATCATTAATGATTAAAAAGTCAGCTGTGTATTTTTCCCTTGTTGAAGAGCCAAAGAAACCCAAGTGACCTTGCATCTTATTCTAGATGGTGTAAAAAAAGAAAGGGAATGGATTCCATTGATAGATTCATGAAACTTTGTCCCAATGAAGATTCTCTTTAATATGCATCTGATTTTAAAGAGTAAGGTATAAGAAGATGAAGTGATGGACAAATGGATTGAAATAGAGTGATTCAAAATGAAGCTGACCCAGAAAAGAAGGGATTTTTTGAAAATATTAAAGGAAAATCATTCCTATGTAATCTGTATTTTTAAACTAATGATTAAAGCATTTTCCTCTAATATTTTCATAGCTGTTTGTGAAGTTATTCATAAGTTGAATTTTTATAAGTCAAATCATATTTTTATATGCAGCAAATGTCCTGACTTTTAGAACTCAGTGTCAGCTTCCTTTATACCAGGAATAACCAGACTACCTTGTAAGTTAGGGATTTTTCATAGGATATTAAGTTATCTTAAAATGGGATGCACCAGTACAATAAAACTACATAGTAAATTGATAGACAACAAACATATTTCCTAAACAACAGTGCACTAATGATGGGATTTGTTTTTCACTTCATATTGAGATTTAATCATTAAAAGTGATAGATTCATAAGTAGCAATGTTTGTTCAGTAAGGATTTTCTAAGATACTGTATATTACCTTTTAAATGTCTTGTAATATTTTAAAATAATTCAGAGTATGCTTTGTGGCATACTCTTAGCTTATCTTAAATGTATCTTAAATGTAAAATGTATCTTAAATGTACTGTGAGGTACAGATGAGAAAACTTGCTCTGAAGTCTCCTTCCTTCAGTTTAACAAAAGCCACCCATTTCACAGATGATTTAACTTTGATTAACTTACTCCATTGTAAGAGATTATTCCAACAACTGGAATTTCATTCTTTCGTGTTACTTGTAGGTGCAGCTTAATTTACAAAACAGCTTTTCTTTCTGTCTCACCAAAATACATCACAATTTTGATGTTAACTCAAAGTAAAAATTCAGTGGTTCATTAAACCTAGTTTTAGCATTCATTGACAAGAGATTTGTCATTTTAAAAGTAACTGCTACTTTTATGCACTCTTTACTGCTCAGTTTATAACCTTAGATTCCTTGTCAGAGAAAGCGTGGAGTTAACCACTTTAGCATATTGTAATGAATATTCATCAATAAATTGATGTGACATGGCAGCCCCATTTTTCAGTCTTCCTGCTCTGTTACAGTCTTTTCCAGTTTTAAATATAGCTTATCATGTAATAAGGACTAGCTTAGAAAATCTTCAGAACTGTAATTTTATATTTTTGGCCACGTTAATAGTCCTTTGGTAGCTATCATATTAGCTTATAACAAGAAAAGCATATTTGTTTCAGAAGAACATTTTTTAATCTGATGTTATTGATGTTAGGCATTTTTGCCAAATATTTGGTAAATTTGATAATTATTTAAGATCAACCTTATAGCAAAAAGATTGCATTTTACAGTTTTTAAGAACAGCATTATCATTTGTTTTTATGTTCCTTGAAATTTATTTAATCATTTTTATGAAGCTTAAGTACCAATGATAGTTTTAAAGTCTGGTTTTAATCCATGTAGAAAGGGAGGGTATGTACTTTAATTCTAAAATAAAACCCTGAGAGCATGTATTTAAATAGTTGATACTCATGATTCAGCTACAACTGAAATAATTTATATGGACAAATAGGCATGGCAAATGCTGTATAGTACACAGATATAGATCACTGTCTGACATATTTCATCTACATTTTAAATTTTAAAAGGAAAAGAGTGTCTATAAACAAGATCTTTTCTGTTAAATATGTAAATTATGAGGTCACTTAGCACTAAAGTACTGACCATATGCATTATGACAGGAATTTGACACCTGTCATTGGAAATGGTACTTAGAGGCCGTATAATACAACAAAGTTGAAGGAGGAGAATAAGATGTGGGTAGGAGGCTGTAATTTATAATTCATAGTGCTCAAGAATGACCTGTCCTGGGTGATTCAAAATTCCTATCTTTGATTTTAGGATTTACATACAGTGAAACCTACTAGTAAACACTTGATTAGGATAACTGGTAGCATTAGCAGAAAGTGGAAAATATATGTATATTCTTACAGTGAATTTTTAGTTGAAATAGATGTCCTATTATTCTAAAAGACAGCTTGTAAGTTAAATGTAATTAAACTATTTTGTTACATTACACCTGCAGGTGACTTTATGGAAGAATTTCATTCTAATGCTTGAGTAATATAGTATAGAATTGCTACCAATTATACTATTTTCAGATTAATAATTCGTTGTATATGAGAATTCATCTAAAAAGGAGTAGTGTCTTTCTGTTTCTCTATGTGATTATTTTGCCCCAAAAAGCTTTCATTTTTTTAAGTAGCACAAAAGCTATAATTGGCATGCTTTGTAAGGAAGTGTCAATGTGCAAGAGAGTGGCGATCACTAAGAATTCTTTTACGTGTTCTTTCCCCTTTGCACCACCGCCTCCTCAGCAGGGTCACTGAGATCACTAGCTTTTCTTGAAATGGCCATTTTCACTGGCAGGTGCATTATACCCTGTATTTTCAGATTGTTTTTCCATTCTGAATGTTTGGCAGGTTGATTGCTCTGGCTGCGTTGACGGAGAAAGGGCTGACAAATGTGGTTGGGCTGGCTGAAAAGACAGTGATTACTGTTTTCCTTTGTGGCTGATTGAGGCCGTTGAAAGGAAAAATTTTAACCTTCACCATTTGGTTCAAAAGTATGAGCATATATTGAAATCACTCGTGCCATTTATCCTAGTTCTGTAAACTTGTCAGAACACAAAAATCGCTCAATTTCAAGTAATGTAGGATTGGCATACGTCATTATCATTTTGATTAAGTTGGAGGTTGTATCATTGTGTGCATTATACAGTGTCATTTAAAGCTTTCTTTCCACAGGTACAGTTATATTTTTATTGCCTATACTATAGAGTTAGAAAGATTTTCATAGCTCTCTAAACCTAACAGTATGTGTGTGGTTTGGCAGCTGGTGTGGCCTACAAGCTGCATTTTGTTTGCTGGGTAAAGGCTTGTCTTTAGGCCTCCTGGAGTGCTGGTAATTGCACAGGCCTGCCATTGGGGAGAGACACAGGATTGGAAGCAGTGAAGCGGAAGAATGTTATGCCATCCCATTGCCACCTTGTAGCAGAAAGACACAATCCCAGCAGTGCCATCTGGTTGTTGCTGTCTAGTCAGCTGGCCTGGCTGCTGGGACCATGACTTGGCAGCTGGTTCCCATTCTTGACCATTCTTTTGTGTACGTCGTATGTATGTGTGTTTTAGATAATTTTGAACATGAGTCAGGGAAATGACTACAGCAAGTAAAGTCCCCTTATTGAATAGGTTGTCATTACTTGAACTGCACTCTGGTGCAGATGCCTGCTGCCTTTCCCTTATAGACAAATAACGCATGTGTTTAGGCAATAAAAATAAACATTTTCTTCATAAAAACCCATCTCAGTGTGTAGCAAAAGAAAAGGTGGGCAGGGTTATGTGTTCTATAACATTTTAAAATAAATGATTTTAAATTACTTCCTGGTTTGGGATGTAAGAGATTTAGTAATTTTTTAGAAGTCTTGTAAACATTGTATATTATCCCAATGTATACTTTTATTCAAATTAAGAAAACATTATTTTAAGTGCTTATTGCCACATCATGTAACAATAGATAATGAGACTTGCATTTAAAATGACAGAATAGAAAATGTGGTCTTATAGCTATTATCTTCAAAATCTGCCTCTCAAATAGCAACCTGAGAGTTAATGTAAGCCATCTTTATGCCTTATGAAGGCCCATTAGACACTGATGGTTTCAGATCACAAGTAAGCAGCCAGCTCTGTAGGCTATTTTAGACATTTGATTTTCCTCATTCTACAGCATTAATGTGTCAGCATGCTATATAAAACTATGCAGGAGTTGCATGTTGTTCTGTCTAGAATGATAAATGCTTGCAAGCTTTTAGAGACTTAATGAGGAATTCATCCTAGTTGCTTATATATCTTATTTCAGTTTATGTAGCTACAGAATTTAGGGTGGCTGTTGCTGAGGTACCACATAGGTATGTATAAAAACCAAGAGGTTCCACTTAACTATTTGATTATGTTGATAAAAATCCCTATTATTTGTACTTGTTCTGTCCGGTCAGTGGTTTACTTTTGCTTATATCTTGGGAGTTGTGATACCTTCTGAAATACTGTCTCAAAAGTTACCAGCTATTTTCATTAAAATAATTTATTATATCATTCTGTTTTTTTGTTTTTTTGTTTGTTTTTTTTTTTTTTTTCAGATGAAGAGGAAGATGATGATGTAGTGGCTCCTAAACCACCTATTGAACCTGAAGAAGAGAAAACTTTAAAGAAAGATGAGGAAAATGATAGTAAAGGTATCTTAAGGAATTAAACTTTAAAACATTTTGTTGATTTCTGTTAAGATTCCTTTTATTATGTATTAAAGTAGGATGAAATGCTGTAAATCAAATAAGTGAATCTGATTGAAAAATAATAACATACATTGATCCATACTGTGATAGTGAGTTGACGTGATTTGCCTGACATAAATCATACTTCAAAAAATTATTTATTTTCCAGCTCCCCCTCATGAGCTGACTGAAGAAGAAAAGCAACAAATCTTGCACTCTGAGGAATTTTTAAGTTTCTTTGACCATTCTACAAGAATTGTAGAAAGAGCTCTTTCTGAGCAGATTAACATCTTCTTTGACTATAGTGGGAGAGATTTGGAAGACAAAGAAGGGTAATGTTTAGTTGCTAAGATTTTTAGCTTCAATAATGTTAAATTACTTTAAGATTAAGAGTGATAAAAGTTATAACACCATCTTTTTGGGGGGTTTGGTCTTTTTTTGTAGAGAGATTCAAGCAGGTGCTAAACTGTCATTAAATCGACAATTTTTTGACGAACGTTGGTCAAAGCATCGGGTGGTTAGTTGTTTGGATTGGTCATCTCAGGTAAAATATAACAAAATAGGCCGCTCTTAACTCATTTTTAAAATTATAATTAGCAGGTCATTTTATTTTAATTATGGGAATTTTGTATAATAAATCAATATGTGTTATTTAAAATTAATGGATGATGGTTCTAATGTTAACATACTCATCTTATGTACTTTGGAAGAAAGATTAGAAGCATTATTTATATTTAAAATTCAGGACTTTATGATACAGGCCAGTTTTACTAATTTCAGTTGCTCACCAAATCCTTTGTGTAAAATTTGGACACATATTTTAATTAAATGTTTTAACATTAAAACATTTAAAATAATTAACTGTTCTAATTTAAAATTGTACTAATGTCCCAGTAGGCATAATGCTAGAGATGTCTCTCTTGATGAAATGTTAGGTATTTGTATTTGCAGAATAATAATCTGATAAAGACAAATAACTAGGATTATAAAACAGTTCTTATTATGCATAGCATTTCTTTTCTTCTTGATTCTTCTGAGCAGTATCCGGAGTTACTCGTGGCTTCCTATAACAACAATGAAGATGCCCCTCATGAGCCTGATGGTGTGGCCCTTGTATGGAATATGAAATACAAAAAAACTACCCCAGAGTATGTGTTTCACTGCCAGGTATGGTGGTCTTTTAACAGTCTTCGCCTCAAGTTTAAGAATTCATTGATGAATTAAGACAAGTGCCTTTTTTCTTTTCTTGTCAACATAATGATTTCATTGGATTGGCATTTTACTAAACCACTCCATATTTGCAAACAGATGTTAACAGAAAACTGAAGACTTCTCAGTTCAACATGATCTGCCTTTTGTAGCTTTTCTGACATCTCTTATAATGTTTAATCACACCTAAAGTCCTTTGCAGTTGTGATTTTCTGTTATGGTGATTGACTGTATAAAAGGAATCTTTTATAAAATGTCTTTCCTACAGGGAGTTTCCCAGGAACTTATTTGTGAATATACAATTAGATGGTTGGCCCACTGAATTACTTATACATGGCCTGAGGAATTGGAACTAGATGGTTTTAAGTAGAAACATATGGTTGAAGTAGAAAACAGATGCAGATTTTTAAAGCAGATTTAGTAGAAGGTTAGAATTTGCAAGCCTTTTCTGATTGCATAATTTAAAATCTTTTAATAGTGTCTTAATCTTGAGTAAACACTTAACTTGAATTAAACTAGCGTGTACTCTACTGTTAGATTACTGTCAGAGTCTAATGCAGGGCTAGTTATCTTTTTAATACTGTAGTTAACTGAAATAACTTTTTGCTTTCTTTGATAAATTAGTTAAACCTACTTAATAGTAAACAGCCATTGCATTGGACTTTTAAGCAAAAAATATCTTAAAGATATATTTTTATATTTCTGAAACAGTGAAAACTTTTAATTAATTTACTTAGTTGTTTTTATAACCTCTAATACCATACAATGAAGAAAGAAATGTTTCGGATAATAGATTGATTTTTAGAACTTGTCAGGCATTTTCCATTTGAATCTCAAGTATAAAAATCTTACTTATTTGCAGTCAGCTGTGATGTCTGCCACATTTGCAAAATTTCATCCAAATCTTGTTGTTGGTGGTACATATTCAGGCCAAATTGTGCTTTGGGATAACCGTAGCAATAAAAGAACTCCAGTGCAAAGAACTCCACTGTCAGCAGCTGCACACACAGTAAGTAAATAAGGTTATTTCCATTAGGCTTCTGTGCTCCTTCATCCTTAGCTATAATACTTAGTAGTGGCCATCAGAGTCATCTCAGAATGTGCTTCCTTTGGTGTATGAATTCCTCACCATTTAGCAACCAAGAATGAAGGCTATTTTTTTTTTTGGAGATTTATTAGAAACTCATCTCTCTTCTGCGACAACATTTTGTTAATAGCAAACTTCACATTAAGAATACCCACAAGTTATGAGACTCGATAATAAACAGAATGCTTATAATTAGACTAAAAATTTTGTTTTGCTTTTTGGTACAATAATCCCTGAAAACTTTTTTTAATATCTCTAGCACCCTGTATATTGTGTAAATGTTGTTGGAACACAAAATGCTCACAATCTGATTAGCATCTCTACTGATGGAAAAATTTGTTCATGGAGTCTGGACATGCTTTCCCATCCACAGGTGGGTTAAACTTGGGAAACTGAAATTTTGAGGCAAATGTTATGTTTTAAGTGTATGTGTACCTCAACTTATGTTTCTCATAAACTGTTTTATAGTAGTGTTACAACAGCTTATAAGCTGAAACGTGTTTAATATAAGTTTGTTTCATATATATATATTTTACTTTGAAACCTGCTTCATTTAATTTAGATTTATGTAAATAATAAAAGAATTGTTTACAATCAAAGACTAGAAGTTTTTCTACAGAAATTTAAAATTGCAAGTTTACAAACTAATTTTCTCAGGTTTTTCTATGTAGGATAGCATGGAGTTGGTTCATAAACAGTCAAAAGCAGTAGCTGTGACATCTATGTCCTTCCCTGTTGGAGATGTCAACAACTTTGTTGTTGGGAGTGAAGAAGGTTCTGTGTACACAGCATGCCGCCATGGCAGGTAAACCTAAACTGGAATTTGCAATAATTTAAAATTCCTCCTTTAATCCCATTGAAACAAATTGTCTTATTTAAGTAGAAATCTGTCGTAGATCTACTTGTTATTTGTGACAGATTTTTTGTGTTCAGGCACATAAAATTAAAACTTAATACCTTTTTGTATAAAAGATAATTTTGGATTCATGATGTGTTTAGATTTTGTGGGTTGTGGTTTTGTGTGTGTGCATGTACTCACGTAAGTTAGTGATAGGCAGGAACATTCAGTAGTTACAAATACAATATGCACATGCCAATATTGACCTATAGACTTATAAATGAGATTTTCAGCTGTTTCCCCTTTTGATTTATTTGGACTTTAAGCATTAGTTCATTCTCCTGATAATTGTACAGTAATGTCACATACATATTTTAAACTGAGTAATATTTCTCCTTCCGTTCTGTCTGTTTTGAAATTGTCTAGCTGTACCTTATTGCTTCCTTAAAAAAAAATTGAGTGTCCAGATTTCATCTCAAATATAGATCACCTTCACTTCAAAGCTTTTGTTTTAAAAGTAGCCCAGATTGTCTCTCTTAAATGTAGGGTATCTTTGTTTCTATTACACCACTTCAGATATTGGACTTTTGAGGTCTGTTGTCAACAGCATGATGTTTACAGTTCCAAAGGTACTTATTGCTTTAGTAGAGTTACCAAATGTGGATGGAATAACACTCAACAAAGTTAATTCTGATAAGTTATGAGCACAGAGTTAAGTCTGTCAAAATGAAGTCAAGGCCTGATATATAAACCTATAATAAAATGTGTATGTAATTGGTCTACTTATAGGAGACTTCTCTAACATTTTCACTTTTATGAAATTAGCAAAGCTGGAATCAGTGAGATGTTTGAGGGGCATCAAGGACCAATCACTGGCATCCATTGTCATGCAGCTGTTGGAGCAGTAGACTTCTCACATCTTTTTGTCACTTCATCGTTTGACTGGACAGTAAAGCTTTGGACAACTAAGGTATCTAAAATATAGATGTCTGCTATTTGCTCAGGTTTCTGACACAAGGTGGTGATCTAATACTACATAGGAATGATGAAAACCTTTTAAATCATAATTGTTTGCTAATAGATGAAGCCTGCTAGGAAGTTACACAGAGCATGAGTGAACTACTAGATGTTGTAATTTTTATAAAAATATGCTAACAAGTATGGTAACCCTACGCAGAATCAAGGACCAGTCTTCCCACCACTTCAGTCTTTTCGAGCATGTAACTGTTTACCCTGAACTGCACTGGGAAAAAAGCCCTGAGTATCTCGCATAGCACCTCATACAGTTGTCATTCAGCTCAGCACAAAAGCTATGCATTTGCTCTTTGGAGAGTTTTTAACAGGTTATTCATAACTACAGTGGCTCACAGAGTTGATGGGAAATAGGGAAAAGAGAGAGAGAAACTGATTTACAATAAGTCCTGTATAATATGGCTATATGTAGTAAACTGGAATCCTTAGGAAAGCATTGTGTAAAAGCATGGATGCATATATTTTTTGTTATTCTATGATAAGCAGTTTAAATCATTTATTTTGGTTTTAATAAACTTCAGTATTTTAAAAACCCATTCATGTGATAAAATGATTCTTGATCCTCCAGCAATTCCAGATAAATGTGACATTGTCTTGACCTGTTGAAAGTCTCAAGACAAATCCAAGTAGGCAACATTACCTCCTGTGATAGACTTGTAATTTCATTTAATCTCATTTTATAATTAAAGTGCCTTAACTTTGCTGTCTAGTTTTTCTGCGGTATTAACATTATTGCTGAGAAAATGCATACCCAGCATCTGATTCTATTTAAATTAAATTCTAAGGTGTTTTTTTTTCTGTTTCTATCTGCCTTATCCTAAATATTGACTTTTTAAATAATTCATCATGAGACAAAGTTTAGAGATCTTTGGTTCTTCAGTTTCTGTAAGAAAACCTAATGTAAGAGATGTTCTTCACTATTTTAGTGAACTCCTAGTTATTTATCAAGTGTTGGCCTTAGAAGTCTGGGATGAACTCATTATTCATTCTTGTCCTTTCTTGATGCCTCCTTTCTGTCTGATAATGAAACAGGTTAGAAAACTTTGCCTCTAAAAGCTTGCCTTTTAAAATTGAGCATTTTCAGGTTTGTCATTAGCAGATATAAAAATAGTGTTTACCTGAACTCTAATAAAGGAAACAGATGCTTAACACAGTGTCCAGCAAATAATAGGCACTTACCAATGTTTAGTTTCTCTTTTACCTCTTAATGGGGATCGGACAGAGCCTGAATACATTTAATAAGTCATCTCTTTCCTTTCTTGGATTGTTCTTGAATTTTTATTCTTCTAGTGAAATTTATACAGTGGGAAAAGGTAGAAGAAGATTCTCAAAGCTCACAAGCAAAGAAATGCGTAATCTAGCTAGCACAGGCTGAGCATCCCTAATCT
Source organism: Homo sapiens (assembly GCF_000001405.40). NCBI lineage: Eukaryota > Metazoa > Chordata > Mammalia > Primates > Hominidae > Homo > Homo sapiens. Next base: position 161,477 of record NW_025791761.1, read on the forward strand.
GTAATGCTCCAGAATTCAAAACTCTTTGAGCGCAGGCATGACACTCAAAGGAAACATTCATTGGAGCATGGATTTTTGGATTAGAGATGTATAACCATAAGTATAACACAAATACAGCAGGTCATCAAATAGTGTGTTTTGTCATAAAATTGACAAGAAAAAACATTGGCCGGGCTCAGTGGCTCACTCCTGTAATCCCAGTGCTTTAGGAGGCCGAGGCAGAAGGATTACTTGAGCCCAGGAGTTCAAGACCAGTTTGGGTAACACAAGGAGACCCCATGTTTACAAAAAATTTAAAAATTAGCCATGCATGGTGGTGCGCACCTGTGGTCCTAGCTACTTGGGAGGCTGAGGTGGGAGGATTGCTCAACTGGCATGTCTAAATTGTCCCAGTCTGAATGAGTGTGGGTGTGTCTGAGTGTGCCCTGCGATAGAATAGCATCCTGTCCATGGTGGGTTCTTGTCTTGTGCTCTGACCAGCTGTGACCTTGAACTGGGAAAAGCAAGTTGGAAAATGAATGAATGAATACAAATTGTCGTAAAATAAAAATTTGTAAGATACATAGTAATCATACAAAGGCAAGACAGTTAAAGGATGCAGTATGAAACCGCTCAGTGAGCCTTCCGTCTTTGTCATTGTTTTAGAACTGCCTGGTGATAGGGTGTGCTCCTTACAATTTTCACTTTGCAAAACATTTATTCCTTGATTTAACCCACCACCTCTTCACCAAAAATTGGGTTAATAATTATCTTGTTTTTATGATTCTTTCTCAAATGTGACCGGGCAGGGTGGCTTACGCCTGTAATCTCAGCGCTTTGGGAGTCCAAGGCGGGTGGATCACCTGAGGTCAGGAGTTTGAGACCAGCCCAGCCAACATGGTGAAACCCCGTCTCACTGAAAATACAAAAATGAGCTGGGCATGGTAGCGGGCACCTGTATTCCTAGCTACTCGGGAGGCTGAGGCAGGAGAATCACTTGAACCCAGCAGGAGGTTGCAGCAAGCCGAGATTGTGCCATTGCACTACAGCCTGGGTGACGAGCAAAACTCCACCTGAAAAAGTAATGATAATCTTTCTAAATTGTATGTATAGCTCACATTTTATTTCAGTGCTTAATATTTGAAGTGTTTAGGGTCATTATTTAGAAATTTGATGATGTTTTTATCACCAGATAAATGCCACAGGGATTTAACTCTTGTTTGTATCAATTAGCCTGTGGTAAAACTGGTTTTGTTTTATGTTGTTTTGCTTAACGTCACAGTTTCCAAGAACCTATAAATGATGTTAAGTGAGGACTTACTGTATTCTAAAATCTGAAAAAGTCCAAAATCTCAAATGCTTCTGGTTCCAAGTATTTCAGATAAACCTATAAAACCAAAGCAAGATGCAGAATTGGTGAGATGAAGCCAACTATTTCTCCAAAGGCTTCATACAGCCATGTAAGTTGCTAGATTTTTAGATGTGCTTTCATCTTAGTAATCCCATGTATAGTCACAGGAGACACATTTTTGTTAGATTGTTGGCCAACTTCCTTTTCGGTAATTGAAAGTAATCTTTTTTTTAAAACTTTTATTTTACATTCGAAGGTACAGGTAAAGGATGTGTGGGTTTGTTATGCAGATTATTGTATCACCCAGGTATTAAGCCTACTATCCATTAGTTATTTTTCCTGAGCCTCTCCCTCCTCCCACGCTCACCCTTCGATAGGCCCCAGTATGAGTTGTTCTCCTCTATGTGTCTACATGTATGTTCATTGTTTAGCTCCCATTTATAAGTGAGAACATGTGGTATTTGGTTTTCTGTTCCTGCATTGGTTTGCTAAGGATAATGGCCTCCAGCTTCATCAGTGTCCCCACATAGGACATGATCTCATTCCTTCTTATGGCTTCGTAGTATTCTGTGGTGTATATGTACCACATTTTCTTTATCCCATCTACCATTAATTGGCATTTAGGCTGATTCCATGTCTTTGCTAGTGTCTTTATAATAGAGTGATTGATACTCCTTTGGGTATATACCCAGTAATGGGATTGCCTGGTCAAAAGGTATGTCTGTCTCTGGGTCTTTGAGGAATCACCACACTGTCTTCCATAATGGTTGATACTCCCACCAACAGTGTAAAAACGTTCCTTTTTCTCCACAACCTTGCCAGCATCTTTTTTTTTTTTTTTTTTTTTTTTTTTTTTGCTTTTTAATAATAGTCATTCTGACTGGTGTGAGATGGTATCTCATTGTGGTTTTGATTTGCATTTCTCTAATGATCAGTGATATATGTCTTCTTTTGAGAAATGTTTGTTCATGTCCTTTGCCCTCTTTCTAATGGGGTTGTTTTCTTGTAAATTTAAGTTCCTTATAGATGCCGGATATTAGATCTTCGTCAGATTCATAGATTGTAGAATTTTTCTCCCTTTCTGTAAGTTGTCTGTTTACTCAATAGTTTTTTTTGTTTTTTAGGGGTTTTTTTGTTTTTGTTTTTTGCTGTGTAGAAGCTCTTTAATTGGATCCCATTCGTCAAATTTTGCTTTTGTTGCAATTGCTTTGGGCCTCTTCATCATGAAATTTTTGCCCATGGCTATGTACTGAATGGTATTGTCTAGGTTTTCTTCTAAGTTTTTTGTAGTTTGGGGTTTTACATTTAAGTCTTTAATCCATCTTGAGTTAATTTTTGTATAAGATGTAAGGAAGGGGTCTAGTTTCAGTTTTCTACATATGGCTAGCCAGTTCTCCCAGCACCATTGTTAAACAGGGAATCTATTCCCCATTGCTTGTTTTTTTGTCAGGTTTGTCAAAGATGATGATTGTAGGTGTGCGGTCTTATTTCTGGGTTCCCTATTCTGTTCCCAGTCTGTGTGTGAAAGAATCTTTTATCTATTTCTAGTTTGTTTTTTACTCTCTCAGGGTGTCAGTTTGCCAGCATCCTTTGGCTTTAAATTTGAGGCTTCCATCCTTATATACGTTAATAATAGGATTTGAAAATAAAGAGTTCATCTTGACTAATCAAGGACAGAACTTATCTTGTGATAGCAGACTGATTGATACTTGCTTTTGTGGTACTACACAGCTAGTTGAGGGGCGGTTGATATTTTTATTCTTGTATTTTAATGTGTTTCAACATAGAAGTGCCTTCTGAATAAGAATGACAAGTGGGCATATCTCTTTCTTTGCCAATTAGGCTAGGCATTGCTTCCTTCCTTGGGCCTTATATAGAAGACTCATTTATTCATTCAATTGGGATACATGCCTCTCACCCTGCCCCCAACATCCCTCCAGTGTTACTGTACAAAGGATGGGCCACCATAGAACATGGTGTTTTTATAAATGCCTAAGGACCCTCTGAAACTTTATCAGAAGAATTACCCTTCATTCTAACTTTTCTGCACACAAGTAGTTCTACTCTGTGAAGGGTAGAGAAGAAACAGTCTGTTAAGTGAATACTTTTATATTTGGCCATACTGTGGCTCCAGTGTCAATTTACACTTCCTGGTTAATTGTGTTGCTGGTATTTATTTCTGCCCTGCTGAAAAACTGATAGAGCCTCTATGCTGTAATAATGACTGATGGGCAATGTTAATTAATAATGAATGGTAAAGAATAATAGGCAGTGTTTTTAAATAATCTCTCTTTAAACACCTTGTTCCAATTTCATTTTAAACTTTTAAACCAGAGTCTTCACACTCATGAATTTAACAGACTTTAAATGTTTTGCTTCTCTTCCTCTACTTTTTAAGTGCTCTTTGACTCCAGGAATTGAGTCCTCATAAATTGGAAGACTGAATCGTGAGATATTGCTGTACTTTTGTGTCCTTAAGATCTGGCTCTGCCCTGATAGCAAAACAAGATTTCTTCCTTTTCTCTCTTTCTATGATAAAAATCCCTGGGAATCTCAATTTGGCACAGCCTCAAATTTAGTTTAAAGCAATCTACTTCTACAGCTAGCCACTAATCTTCGCCTAGCCAGAGATTTATAATTCAGTCACATAGTTCTGGTTCATTGACTTGTTTTCATTACTTTATTGAACTCAACTATTTTTAAGACAGGCTGAGCACCCTAATCTGAAAATTCAAAGTCTGAAATGCTCCAGAATTCAAAACTTTTTGACCACTAATGTGACACTCAAAGGAAATGTTCATTGAAGCATTTCACATTTCATATTAGGAACGCTCAACCATAAGTATAATGCAGGTATTCAAAAATCCAAAAATATTTGAAATCTGAAACACTTCTGGTTCCAAGCATTTCTGATAAGGGATATTCAACCTGTATAGAAGACAAACAGATTATTTTCCGTGTATGGAAGTTTAAACCAGTAAAGACAGGGCTTCTAATATATTTAAAAGACTCTGTTGCCATCTCAAAATACCAAATTTTAAATTCACAACCGAAGCACTTTGGCAGGTCTGAAAAATGGCTGGGAGAATAAGGAGTGAAAGCTTCTGCAGGGTAACAAGGATTCTAGAAGAGTTTGATTATGGGTAGACCTGGTAGATTCACTAAATGTTCTACCACATTTAACCATACTTGTTACAGATTACTGTTAAAACATAAGAATTATTTACTTGGGACAAGATGGATTTTGAGATGTGTGCACAAATTCTTATCAGAACCATATTTACCATAAAATGACGAAGTTAAGATTGTTAATGTGGTAATTTCTTGGAAGGGGGAGTTTTCACACTTTTGTAGTCCATACACATCTTGAAATTATTCACACTTTCTGATAAGTCTTAGAACCCCTCCTTATATTAATAGCTTACTTAGTTAACTCTCAGAGGGCACCAGCATTAAAACAGGGTTAAAAGTTCATACTAGTCCTTAGAATAACAACTATGCATATTTAGACAAGTTAAGATGAAAAAATGCTTTGAAGTTGGGTGTTCTTAGGGAAGGCTGCCTATTCATCTGGACCGAGGCCTGCGCAGCAGCATTTGCCTCAGTAACTTGCTACTGGCCAATGTCCAGCCTCTCCTTTGCATATTCAGAAACTCAGTTTAATCAGTATACTAGAGTTGATTAGACAGGGAGTGCTAACCGGAACTAACAGGCTCCTAAGACACTGGTACATTGGAGAATGTCAATTTATTAATTTACAATGAAAAACATAACTGCCAGAAGGCCCAGATACTCCTGTGAGCCTGACCAGCTCATTGTTTCCCTGTAGACAATCCACATGGGAAGCCAAATTATAATCAGAAGATTGCTTGGTGAGTAAGGAGTTGGAACAAAAGAAGTTTTATAATTTGAATGTTTAATGGCACCAAGCTAAGATAGCCTGATTCATTCTAGCCTTGCCATGGGGTAGTAATTCTCAAAATCCATTGGTTGAGACTCCCTTTCTCCTGGACGATGCTTGAATGGGTACTGTCTTCATTTTCCTTGTAAGACTGTTTCTTTGTATTTCTATTTTAATAGACACATTTGGTCTCAAAAAGTTAATATATTCAGTCAAGTTATATAGAAAGATATTTCTGACCTTGGAATCCATTTCTTTGGAAGAGAATTCATTTATTTCTCTTCTGATCCAAATTGATGACATATTTATTTCCCAGTTCTCTAGGAAGCATCTCACTATTATCTTCACGTGTTTAATGTAGGGACTATCTTTGTTATTAATCTAGAACTCCCCGCTTACCCCAGCTTTGAAAAATAATCTATATTCTTTTCCCAAAGCTGCCATAACAAATTACCACAAACTGGGTGGCTTAAAATGACAGAAATTTATTCTTTCACATTTCTGGAGGCCAGAAGTCCAAAATCAAGGTGTTGACAGGCTAGTTACTTTTGGAGGTTCTGAAGGAGAATCTGTTTCTTGTCTCTCTCCCGGCTTCTGATGGTTGCCAGCAATCCTTGCTGTTTCATTGACTTGCAGCTACCATCATTCCAGCCTCTGCCTCTGTCATCAGATGGCATTCTACCTGTTTGTGTCCGAATTTTTCTCTTTTTTTAAGGATACCAATCATGCTAGATTTAGGACCTACCCTAATTCAATATGACCTCATCTTAACTTGATTACATCTGCAAAGGCCCTGTTTCCAAATAAGGTCACATTTACAGATACCAGGTAGACACGAATTTTGGGAAGACACTATTCAACTCAGCGTACAACCTTAAAGAGCTTAGGAAAAATATGGCTTGACTCGTGACCATACTCTGTTGCCCAGGCTGGAGCGCAGTGGGGTGATCTCGGTTCATTGCAACCTCCACCTCCCAGGTTCAAGCGATTATCATGCCCCAGCCTCCCAAACAGCTGGGATTATAGGCATGTGCCACCATGCCCAATTAATTTTTGCATTTTTAGTAGAGACAGGGTTTCACCATGCTTGGCCAGGCTGGTCTCAAACTCCTGGCCTCAAGTGATCTGCCTGCCTCGGGCTCCCAAAGTGGTTGGGTTATAGTGTGAGCCACCACACCCAGCCTTGTTTTTCTTTTTATTGTAATCTTTTACCCAGTTACAGTGCATCCTGTTTTTGTCTCTGGCTGCATATTCGTCCACTGAGTAGATGATTTTTTTTTTTTAACTTTTAGGTTCAGGGGTACGTTTGCAGGTTTGTTATATAGGTAAAATCATGTCACGGGGGTTTGTTGTACAGATTATTCCATCACCCAGGTGCTCAGCCTAGTAACCATTTCCTGATACATTTAGCAATCTTTTATATTATAAATACAAGTAAGTTTTAATCTAGTTTGCATGTAGCTTTTTTCATATTTTGTATCATATAAAAATGGAATCATAGAGTAGAAAATACTCAGCCAGGCGCAGTAGCTAACGACTGTAATTCCAGCACTTTGGGAGGCCGAGGCAGGCAGATCATCTGAGGTCAGGAGTTCGAGACCAGCTTGGCCAACGTGGTGAAACCCCATCTCTACTAAAAATACAAAAATTAGCTGGGCATGGTGGCACACACCTGTAATCCCAGCTACTCGGGAGGCTGAGGCAGGAGAATTGCCAGAACCCGAGAGGTGGAGGTTGCAGTGAGCTGAGATCGCACCATTGCACTCCAGCCTGGGAGACAAGAACGAAACTCCAGCTCAAAAGAAAAAAAAAAGAAAAAAAGATACTCATTTGTGTCTGGCTTCTTTTGCTCAACATTATGTTTGTGAGATTGATTCATATTTGTTAGTGTAGTTGTAGATTATTCATTCTCTCTGCTGTATACTATTCCATTATGTAAATATACCATAATTTATCCATTCTACTGCTGATGGTATTTGCATTAATTCCAGTTGAGGGCCATTACAAATAGTGTTGTGAGCATAATTGTAGATGTCTTTTGATGGCCATAAGCACTCATTTCTTTTGGGTATATACCTAGAGTGGAATTACTTGGTCTTTGATGGAAGACATAACATTGCCTAAAAATAAGCTGTTTTTGAAGAAGTACACTATCACCTCAGGAGTCAGAGGCCTTAGCACAGTGGTTCTTAATCATTGGTGTGCATCAGAATCACTAGTGGAGCAACAGCAGAGATACCGATGAAGTGCATCTGGAGTTGAGCCCTGCATTTGTATTTTTCAAAAGCTCTGCAGATGATTGTGCACATCCTAGGTTGAAAACCACCTTCTCGGCCAGGCATGGTGGCTCACGCCTGTAATCCCAGCACTTTGGGAGGCCAAGGCAGGTGGATCACCGGAGGTCAGGAGTTCGAGGCCAGCCTGGCCAACATGGTGAAACCCCATCTCTACTAAAAATACAAAATTAGCCATGTGTGGTGGTGCATGCCTGTAATCCCAGCTCCTCGGGAGGCAGAGGTTGCAGTGAGCCAAGATCACACCATTGCACTCTAGCCTGGGCAACAAGAGTGAAAAAAAAAAAAAAAAGAAAACCACCTTCTCAGAGTGAGACTTCATTTGGTGGTGTTATCAGGGAGAGTGACAGATAGTGATTGTAAAAGAAAAAGGCTTTTAATTTTTGTGTTTACCTTAGTTTTAAGTTTTATTAAAATTTTGGTTTTTAAATTAAAAACAAACATTTTGGCTATTAAAATGATCATGCTGTTGACATTTACTATCATATCTGAAAATTTTTAATTCACAATTTTAAAACATTTTATTATGGAAAATCTCAGATACAAAAGCAGAGGGAATAATATAATGAAGCCATTATTGTTCCCAGCTTCCATAGTTAACACATGACCAATCTTGTCTATACATAACCTCTGCAATATTAAAATCAAGCCTATACATACCATTTCAACTATAAATATTCATTATGTATTTCTAAAAAATAAAACCTCTTTAAAAAATACTACCATATCATTATTAAATGCCCCAAAATGAACATTGGCTCCTTATTTTCGTCAAATGGCCTATCAGTGTTCAATTTTTTTTTTCTTTTTACTATTTATTTGAAGCAGGATCCAAAGGAGGGCCATCCATTTGCGATTGACATATCTCTTTTTTTTTTTTTTTTTTTTTTTTTTTGAGACCGAATCTCACTCTGTTGCCCAGGCTGGAGTGCAGTGGCACGATCTTGGCTCACTGCAACCTCTGTCTCCTGGGTTCAAGTGATTCTTATGCCTCAGCCTCCTGAGTAGCTGGGATCACAGGCGCCCGCCACCATGCCTGGCTAATTTTTATATTTTTTGTAGAGACAGGGTTTCACCATGTTGGCCAGGCTGGTCTCAAACTCCTGGCCTCAAGTGATCCGCCTGCCTCAGCCCTCCTCGGCTTTCCAAAGTCCTGGGATTTTGAGCCACCAAGCCCAGCCACAATTGACATACCTTTTAAGTTCCTCTTTAAAGTAGGGCTTGCATCCCTCTTTTTTTTCTTGCTGTTTTATTCTTGAGGAAGAAACCAGGTTGGTGTCTGTCAAGTTGGTCCTGTAGGGTTTCTCAGTCTCGATTTTGCATTCCTGTGGTGTCATTCATATTAATGTGTGTGGTTGCAGATAGTTTATGTTTCTGTAATGAGACGTTTACCCTCATAAATGATTTGGTTATCCACCAGACCTTACGTTAACGTCTCTTCAGTCTTTTTGGTCATCTGAAGCTCATTCTATAGTACGTGATGCAGAAGGTGCCCACAGGTGCATTATTCCCATATTCCACAAAAGTACATGATTATGAAGATTAGTTTGATTGTTTATAAAATCCATGACTTACGTTTTCTTTCTTTGCATACCTTAGTTACTCTGTGGACTTCTGGAAAAAAGCATTGCTGTCACAAAATCTGATCACAATCTGATTTTCTTTTTCCTACTTGCGATTTGGTCTTTTTAAAAAATGTGGGTGATCAAATGATTTTTTCCCTTTTCTTTAGAGGGTCAGTGTTCCTAGATACACAGGATATCCTTTCAATATGTAGTTTCAAGCTGTCTTTCATTTTAGGAGAGTTCTTTTGAGTTGTTTTTGGTATTTGTTCTGTATTACTGCTTTGGTTTTCTTCTTCAGGACCTGCCATTGTAGATGTACTTTTGCTGATCTTCTTTATCACTTTTTTTTTTAGATCACCTTATCTCTTCTTTTAAAATAAGTTTCTTTTTAAGTAACAGTTTTATTGAGCAAAACCCTTATACCATGAAATTCACCCTTTTAAAGTATACAATTCAGTGGTTCTTAGTATATTCACAGAGGCACGCCTAATTGCCAGTATCTAATTTTAGAACATTTTCAAATTTTAGAAAGAAAAATTATGCCCATTAGCAGTCACTCCACATTCTCCCCTACCCCCACAGCTCCTGGAAACCACTAATCAATCTACTTTCTATCTCTTTGGGTCTGCCTGTTATGGACAGTTCATGGACATTTCATGGAATCTTGCAATTGTGTACTGGCTTCTCTCACTTTGCATAATGTTTTCAAGGGTCATCCTTCATATTGATACTTCTTGTATCAATGTATTGTTCCTTTTATAGCTGAATGATACCCCATTGTATAGATATACCACTTTTTGTTTATACATTCATCAGATGAACACTTCAGTTGCTTCTGCTTTTTGGCTATTATGAATCATGCTGCTGTGAATGTGCAAGTTTTTATTTCTCTCGGGTATATACCTAGGAGTGGGATTGTTGGGTCACATGGTAACTAATTAGCATTTTGAGGAGCTGCCAAACTGTTTTTCAAGTGGCAGCACCATTTTACATTCCCCAGCAAGGTATGAAGGTTCTGATTTCCTGTATCTTCACCAACATTTGTTACTTTTTTATACTAGCTATCCTAGTGGTATGAAGTGATACCTCATTGTGGTTTTGATTTGCATTCCTCTCACGACTAATGATGTTGAACATCTTTTCATGTACTTATAGGCTATTGTAAGCACTGTGGACACAGTGATGTATCAGATACATGGTTTGCAAATATTTTCTCCCATTGTGTAGGTTCTCTTTTCACTTTCTTGATATCATTTGAAGCCCAAAAGTATTTAATTTTGATGTAGCTCAGTTTACCTACTTTTTCTTTTATCATTGTGCTTTTGGCTTCTCAACTGAGAAATCATTGCTGAGTTCAAGGTCACAAAGATTTACTTGTATGCTTCCTTTAAGAGTTTCATAGTTTTGGCCAGGCACGGTGGCTCACGCTTGTAATCCTAGCACTTTGGGAGGCCGAGGTGGGTGGATCACCTGAGGTCAGGAGTTCAAGATCAGCCTGGCCAACATGGTGAAACCCCTTCTCTACTAAAAATACAAAAATTAGCTGAGCATGGTGGTGCACGCCTGTAATCCCAGCTACTTGGGAGGCTGAGGCAGGAGAATCGCATGAACCCAGTGAGCTGAGATCATGCCACTGCACTCCAACCTGGGCGACAGAGCGAGACGCGGTCTCAGAAAAAAAAAAAAAAAAAGTTTCATAGTTTTACTTTCCATTTAGATCTGTGATACATTTAATTTTTCTATATGATGTAAGGAAGGAGGGATCCAACTTTATTTTTTTTATTTTTTTATTTTTTGAGACAAGGTCTCACTCCCATCGCCTAGGCTGGAGTGCAGTGGTGTGATTTCAGCTCACTGCAGCCTCGACATCCTGGGCTCAAACCATCCACCCATCTCAGCCCCCAGGGTGGCTGAGACTATAGGTGCATGCCACCATGCTCAGCTAATTTTTGTATTTTTTGTGGAGATGGGGTTTTGCCATGTTGCCAAGCTGGTCTCAAACTCCTGAGCTCATGTGATCCACCCACCTTGGCTTCTCAAAGTGCTGGGATTACAGGCATGAGCCATGGCACCTGGGCCAGCTTTATTCTTTTGCATATGTATATCTAGTTTTCCCAGCACCATTTCTTGAAAAGACTATTCCTTTCCTATCTAATTTTCTTGACACCACAATAACTTTTATGGAATCTGACTGAGATCCTTTTCTTTGCTATTGTCTACTAGTGAAATGAATTTTTGTGTATTTTTAGGAGGGAGGGAATGGGCAAGGATAACTTTCCTAGTTCATTTTCTAGGTTAAAGCTGTCTCTTCTCTGGCTTTTGCAAAGTGAGAATACATGTACCTTGTGCTTTCTGAGATGTGCCTTTTCTGCTTCTCTCCACCACTTCTGTCTGAACTTACTGCTTTGTCTCTTTTGTCTGGCATTCTACAACTTGGATTCTACTCCCAGCAGTTTCTCTTCTGTGAGACTTTGTCTTGGAAAGGAACTTTGATTTGTTAATTTTGAGAGTTTATAGCACCCAGACTGTACCATGAGAACTTACTTATACTGCACTGTAGTCTGCTTGCATTTACAGTTGACCCTTGAATAATGCAGGGCTTAGGGGTGCCAACGCCTATCCCAGCAGTTCAAAATCCACATATAACTTCTGACTTCCAAAAAACTTAACTACTAATAGCCTACTACTGACCAGAAACCTTTCTGACAACATAAATTGTTGATTAACACATATTTTTTATGTTATATGTATTATATACTGTCATCTTAAGGGCAAGCTAAAGAAATGAAGATGTTAAGAAAATCATAAAGAAGAGAAAATATATTTACTATGCATTAAGTGGATGTGGATCATCATAAAGGTCTTCATCCTTATCATCTTCACAGTTGAGTAGGCTGAGGAGGAAAAGAAAGAGGAAGGGTTGGTTGTGCTGTCCCAGGGGTGGCAGAGGCAGAAGAAAATATGAGTATAAGTGGATCTCTGCAGTTCAAACCTATATGGTTCAAGGGTCAAATGTATTTATAAATGGAATTGTGCCAAACTGCCCCCTAGTTTTTGCTGCTGTTCTCAGATTAGCCCACCACACTGTCCAGTGAGCATCTGCTATGACTGTGAGGTTCTGTTCTCCACCTGTCAGAAGTTCTCGTGCCTTCCTTCATCTTCTTCCCACACAGATACTGATACCATGCAAGTCTTGTAGTTGTGAGAGGTTTGTTTCCACCTGATTTTATTTGGAAGTTTGTCTCCTGATTCTGCTGTAGATGCTGTCTGTGAATCTTTGCTCTTCCTGCCCTCATTGCTTTATCTGAGTTTATGGGGAGAACTAGAGGAGATTTAAAAAGTACACTGCTATTGCTGTTATCTTCCCAGAATCTTCTCATTGACAGATGTTCTTGAAGCATGTTCTATTTCTTTTTTTAAACAGTATGGCATCTACAAGTTAAAAAGAAAATGCAATCAATAGTTGATTCTTAGTTTACAATACCAGGTAATTCTGTAGTGAAACAAATTGTAGGAACTTTTTCTAGGCTGAGTTAAATATCATAAAATGTTATCATACCTGTTGAATGTATGTCATTTTTTTCCCAGTGATAAGTAGTTTAATGATTTGTATGTCATATATGGACTGTGCTAAGAATCAACTTTTCTCTTTCAGAATAACAAGCCTTTGTATTCATTTGAAGATAATGCAGACTATGTTTATGATGTTATGTGGTCACCTACCCACCCAGCCCTGTTTGCCTGTGTGGATGGCATGGGGAGATTGGATTTGTGGAATCTCAATAATGACACAGAGGTGAGCAGGAAAATAACAAAAATTGCATTGAAAAATAGAAAATTGGATATTTATTGAATAATTTGTGAAATTCCTTTTTTTCCAAAGAATGTAAAAGGGTTCTGTGATTGTAGATTCATCACAAAGAACTCAAATAAGCTTTGTACCCTAAATAATAAACAGCATGCTGCGAAGAACTAAAGGGAGAAATAATGTTGCCAGGAGCACTGGGGCATTTCCTTTTACTTCTGAAAAGCACTATCATGTCTCTAATGTCCTGGCAAAGTCTCATTCATAAGATAACTGGGATGTTTTTCATTCATAAGCTAGAAAGCAGATAGTTTCAGACTGTTGAAGTATGTTAACCTTAATTCTGAATTTCTAAATTATCTCTTAGCCTTGATAGCATTGTATATCATCCATAAACATTAATCTTAGCCTGATTTGTTTGAAGGAAGGAAAAATATATTTTGATTTTTGATGAGTTTTTTCTATGAAGGATTGAAAACAGAGTGTTACTATAAAATGAATATAGAAACTATCAGATTTCCTAATTGCTGTACTAAAATCACTTATTAGCCATTAAATTTAATTGCAACTCTTATTTATTTTTAGTCACATGTATTTTTACCAGCTTAGAGAAGCTTAAAAATGTTCTTAGAATTCTATTCTATATTGCTATTAGTAATATAATTAATATTAGCATTTCTGTCAATAACAATTGTTGAGAGAGTCAACTCAGATCTCCCACATCTCTTCCTAGTTAGCTAGAATGGTACCAATTCTGTTTTCTTAATTTGGATTTTAGTCTTAGAGATTTGAAGTTACAATTAAATGTGGATTGAAATTTAATATTTCTTTATAACAATTTTGGTATTCTGTGTATGGGGTTAAATTATTTGGGGATGACTAGTACAAATTAGAAGGATTTTTTTGTCAAATTTCAAAATTTTTTAAAAATTTTATCATACTTTTAGTCTGAATCCAAACACTGAATGTTTGCTCCATGTGTAGCAAATAAAACTCTTCTTCCTTAGCAAAGAAGAGGCACAGTCAGATTCCAGGGAGCTGGTGCCATTGTGTTGGTGCCATCATCCTGGCTATCTCCAGCTAGCTCATGGAACAAGAGGCTTTAGACAGACTCATACTGCACCTTCAGTATGAACCGTTTCTAGGAACACTGAGTCAAATACAGGTTTCAGCTGATAGAGATACATGCTGCACAAGTGATTCTTGTCCTTTACAACTGAACCATAATCTGCTTATGAGGGCTTTTGAAGTGTTTTCTTTTTAAATGGGTTTTGGCCATGTGTTTTCAAACAGCTTGACTTCTTAAAGACATTAAAACAACAAAAAAGGATTCTTTATTCAAGAGAAGACCTTTCAAAATAATGTGTCTAGTCTTCTGAGAATTTTTTATACAAAGACTTATTTTCCCAAACCATTTTCAAGGATCGACTATAATGTCATTCATAATATATCACTGAAGAAGAAGAAAGTTGGGGAAATTCTTACCTGTTTTCATCTTTGTTTTTAAAAATGTAGCCAGCTTGAGAGAAGAATTACTGTTTTACATGTTTATAGAAATCTTGATGAAACTTTTAACACTGTCCTTTATTTTAAATGACTTTAGGTACCAACTGCCAGCATTTCTGTGGAGGGTAATCCTGCTCTTAATCGTGTGAGATGGACCCATTCTGGCAGAGAGATTGCTGTGGGTGATTCTGAAGGACAGATTGTTATATACGATGTGGGAGAGGTATGGGACTCCCTGCCTGTAATTTTGACACATCGATTTAGTTGCATTGTAGTAAAGGCATCTTTGTGGCTAACCCTAGGCTTTGAGGTTTATGAGTTGTTTAAACTATATGGTTGTAAAGATAAAACTTACTTTCTACCACAGAAGCAGCTCTTGAAACATTTTCTTTCTAAACCGAATGTTCTGTTTCCCATGCAACAGATTTTGAGGGTAATACAATAAATACATTGAAAATACCTTGTTTCTTGAAGCATGCATTGCTGGAAATTAGAAATTCTTTGGGGAGAAGTTTGGAGTTATAGGTGGACTTTGGGGTTTTATTGATATTGAAATAAGATTTATTTTTCTGTATTCATTAATTTGGGCCAGGTAGTAGAAACCAAAAGTAGTATCTTTTGAGAACCATCTGTGACTTTATGCAATGTGCATCTTGACTCTTAAGCCTTGATGCAAAGCCACAGTAATGGAATCCAATAGGATGAGCTGCAGCTCTCTCATCTTTGCTGCTCTGATTGGCTGAACACAAAGCCCAGGATGGATTTCCTCTTTTTTAACCCTGGCTAGGGGTTAAAAAAGTGACCTTAGTCACTTTCCTTTGCTATGCCTCATGATTTCTCTCCTCTCTGGATATCCCATGGCCTCTAGCAATTGGATCTGGTGGGAGGTAGATTTAATCATTTACAGCAGCCAATTAAACTATCTGCACAAATGGAAATGTTCTGTACCTGCACTAATATGGTAGCTTCTAGCCACATATGGCTATTGAACACTCTAAGTGTTGCTACTACAACTGCGTAACTGAATTTTTAATTTTAATTAATTTTAATATACACAGTCACATGTGGCCAGTAGCTACCCTACTGGATAGTGTAGATTTATAAACAGGCACAGCCATTTGCCACAGTGAGTGGTTTGTGCCCTAACATGACAGTGTCAGACTCCTATGATATTATAATGGCAGTTATCAAAAATATTTGTTATTGGGGCCGGGCGCAGTGGCTCACACCTGTAATCCCAGCACTTTGGGAGGATGAGGCGGGTGGATCACCTGAGGTCAGGAGTTCGAGACCAGCCTGGCCAACATGGCAAAACCCCATCTCTACTGAAAATACAAAAATTAGCCAGGCATGGTGGCACATACCTGTAATCCCAGCTACTGGGGAGGCTGAGGCAGGAGAATCACTTGAACCTGGGAGGCAGAGGTTACAGTGAGCCAAGATAGTGCCACTGCACTCCAGCCTGGGCAACAGAGTGGGACTGTCTCAAAAAAAAAAAAAAATTATATATATATATATATATATATATGTTATTGGGCTGCCTCTGAAGTAAAGCATCACAAGGCTCTTTTGCCACCAGTGCAGCACTAAAGTGGTAAATAGTAGCACAGCTTTTGATGAAGGAGTTAAGGTATCAAGAAAGATTACCTTATGTTCCAAAGAAAAATACTTACAAGAAACGAGCCCCCTTATGAACCATGCTTCAAACACTGTTTCTTACTAGGAATTTTGCAAGAATACAGTAAAAAAAAAATTTTAAGGAATTCCTCTCCAGCAAAATCCATGAGATGGTGCATAGGAGTTATATTTACAAAGCATCATTGTTATTCTCTCTTGCATTGGTGGTGATAATAGCCAAGTCATTTCTGAGGCTGTCACAACACACTTCACAAACACCGTCTTTTGTTTTGAAATGTTGTAAATCATTGTTATAGTCCCCGTAATTATGGAAAGGCCATTCAGGTCAATTATTACTTTTTAACAGAAAAATTATTTGAAAACAAACTGAATAATAGTGGGTAAAATGATCTTTTATTTCATTGTATATAAAACATTGTCTTTCTTTTAACAGCAGATTGCTGTTCCCCGCAATGATGAATGGGCACGGTTTGGCCGAACACTTGCAGAAATTAATGCAAACCGAGCTGATGCAGAGGAGGAAGCAGCTACCCGAATACCTGCTTAGTTCCTGAAAAGGGGAGTGTAACTAGTGGATTTGGGAAAGGTTCTTAAGTAGATCCTGAGACTATTTGCATGCTTCTGTCTAAATGATAATTAAAAGGAAATTTCATGGATTAAACCATGGGTTTAATGCAGCAAGGAAACTTACAATGTCCCTTTATATATAACATGCATCTTGTTTTGGATTTGTGTCATTTTTTAATATAGCTGATTGACTTCACAGAAAGCAGCTTTTTTGAATTCTAATACATAGGTGTATATTTGGTATTAGTTATTTTGAGTTCTTTTCAACTTATAACACTGTATACAGTTATTTCTAAAGCACAGATGAAATAAGTTCTGCATATTTTTAAATAATCACAGTTCCCTGTTATACAGATAATGTTCTCACTACCCATAATATGTAGGAACATTGTTTCTCCTTAGCCGTAGTATGCATACACCTATCCATGTTCATTCTGACATCCTTTGTTGTCTTTATAATTCATGTGGTAGTTACCTATAAATAAAAACAAATATGCGTTAACTTTTCAAATTTTCATTTTTACTCCTTACAACTTGAATTTTTCCATCTTTTATAAAATATATTTTTTCCATATCTTTCTTTAAGCTCCTGCTGTGAGCAGCCATCTCAAATCCTATAGAGCTGTGTACCCTAAATATACCATGTGGTATATACTATAGATCTCCCAGTGCATTATGAATTGATGTCTAGATAATCTGTTGGTGAAAAAATTTCCCCTAGGTTAACTTTTGCTTTACTACTTTATATTCTTTCCATCTAAGACATATTTCCTTTAAAGGATAAATAGAAAGCTGCCTATAATTTTCACTGATTAAGAACTATGTATGTGACCTCACTGAGAGTAAAATCTTTGAGAGAAATTGATTTCATGATTTCAGTAGCCATAAAGGCAAAGTGCTCAAATGGACCCATACTTTGGCATTAAAATCTACATCTTGAGATCTGTTGCCACAGCATTGTCTACAAGTCCGAAAGGTAGGTGACAAATATCTAAGAATCAGTATTGAAATCAGTGAATTTCAGGAATAGAGGAAAGGACTATGATCAGATCTTGATTTTATCTACTTTAAATTGTCTATTTATTTGATCCCAACCTTTTGTACTTCTGAAGTGTAACTGTCTTTTATTCAACAGAACATGAACTAGGAAGAGAGATTAGAAAACAGAATGTGAACATTTTTCTTTTAATAATTGTAACAAAGATTTGTTGGGAGAGAAATTTCCAAATAATGAGTAGTGTATAGTGTAAGGAATAATTGACCTGGAATTATTGGCCCCAAACTCTGATTCTTGCTGAAGCATCTATGAGAAGTGTGATTTTAGCCAAGTCTGTGCCGCATTCTTTATATGTAGGAATTAAGTTTTGATTTAATGATTTCTGAATTTTCTTTCAGCTCTACTCAATTAAGGGGTATCAGTATGTGAAATGGAATATAGAAAAGTAGGCAATTCTTTACTTTTCTATATTCAGTTTCATAAATTAATACCCCATAATTGCCCATTATATACCAAAGACAATATCTCAAGTTATCTCATTGTAGCAGTGTCTGTGAGTCAAAACTTCAATTTTAGTAGAGTCACACTTTCTTTATATAGAAAAATTCATGTACTCACTACTCATGTAGTTACTGTATCTTTACCTTCAGTTTGTAAAAATGACTAAAAGTAGGGAAAACAAGTGTTAAAACATAATGGATAAGAAAAGGTTGGAAATCATATGGCAAATCACATGTTCCTCAGCCTCAAGGTGTGTTTAGTTGTGAAAGAAAGAATAAAATTGTTTAAATATTTCACTTTTTGGGAATGACTTCTCCCCTACTCCCCCAGAAAATGCGATGTATACCTTTGCCCATTCAACTTTAGTCCATATTTTTAGGAACACACAAATTTACTTTAAGGAATTACCTTTAAAGTTGACTATATAATAGCAAAAGAGAAAGTATTGAGACTGTCAGTGTTGATAAAGCTTCTAGCAAGATTAGGTTGACTAGAAGTGCATCACAGTTCTTTATACTTTTAGAACTAAAAGCCTTATAATTTTGAAAAATATCCAGTTACAGAAATTGTACCTTATCAGTTATACTTTTTTTCTGAGTAAGAAAACAAGCTATAGCTTTCTGGTTAATTTCTTATTTTTCGTTGTTTGGTTTTTGTCTTTTTGAGTGGAACGTTAAAGTTTATTACCTTCATGTTAAGGAATATCCAGCTTCACAGACAATTAACTTGCAATAAATCTCTGAAATAATCATTTTTTGGTATTATTTAAACCAAATATGCATTGGTAGAAGCTTTCTTCCTGTTTACAGATCCAGCTCCCTATAAAGTTTAGAAAATCTCTTTGTATAAAATGTTGTTACAATAATGCTGAAATACTGCATCTCAAAGGAATGGATGACTTAAAATTTAGTGGGAGGAACTATAGGAAAGTCGTTTTAGGAATGATTGGTCCTAGTCTTTCAGTGTTGTTAAAATGTTTTAGTCTGTTCTGTACTAGTGTGGATAGACTAATATCCACCCCTTGAACCATACAGAAAGACTTGAATGGATGAGTGAAAATCTGCTGTGAAGCATATCATACTATCTTTGCTTTATATTGAGTAGTGCATTACTTTTAAGTCAGAAAGCCAGTAGGTTTTTTTGTTTGTTTGTTTTTCCCTAAAGCGCTGCCATAAATTTCAGTGGTCACCTGCCACTCACTGGGCGGTGTATTTTTAAATGTCTTTTCCACAACCCCAGTATTTCAACATTGACATTCTAATAGTTTTCTAAATGAGAAAGCTGTATAATTAAATGTATGCTAAAGAGAATGGAGCTCCAAATGCAGCTCCAGATGCTGCTTATCATCTAGGATGCTGGTGTCATGTCTTAGTCTTCAGGATAAGCCAAGGTTAAAAAGCCAACAGCTTTACTTCTTGATGACTTAGTAATGGGGTTCCCATTGAGTTTTGTTTTTAATCCAAGCTACACAGCAACAAGAAAGGAGATCTTGCTTTCCTTAGGCTACCATCTTGCTGATTGCTAGCCCAGCAGTCCCCAACCTTTTTGGCACCAGCCATCATCTGTTTGTTTCATGGCAGACAATTTTTCCACGGACCAGGGAGGTTGGGGAGATGGTTTCAGGATCAAACTGTTCCACCTCAGATCATCATCAGACATTATTAGATTCTCATAAGGAAGGAGCACACACAACCTAGATCCCTCACATGTGCAGTTCACATTATTAGGGTTTGCGCTCCTCTGAGAATCTAATACCGTCACTTGCTGATCTGACAGGACGGGGAGCTCAGGTGGTATTGCTCATTCGCCTGCCCGCCCGCCTGCCTGCCGCTCACCTTCTGTTATACAGCCTGCCATGGACCACTACTGGTTCTGGTTTGCGGCCCAGGGGTTGGGGCCCCCTGTGCTAGGCAACTTAGAGACCTTACAGGTTTGAGGAAAAGTCACTCCCAACTAGGAACTTATCATTTACTAATTAAAAATTATTGATGCTGTGAAATTATTTACTTAGAGATCTGGCTTACAAATCTAGGGGTTCCTAATGCTGTCAGAGAATTAGAAATTGCCCCAAAGGCAGTATTAAGAGAACAGCCATTTTCAGTATTTCTTTTGAAGGGGAAGATTACAATTAGGAACCTTCTTTTAACCAGTTTTTTCAAAAGTTTTACAGCCCCCAAATGGTAGTAATTTGCTTGTATTGTATTATATTTTGTAAATCCTTTTTCATAAATAGGAAACATGTTATGGAGTCCATCTTAGAGAAAAATCCTACACTGATAACCAGAATACCAACTATAAAACTTGGAATCCATCACACTGGAATGCTTTTCACAATAGGCCAGTTCTCTCATTCCTTTTGTTGGACTTTAGGTATTTAGATTGTCTTTCTGCCTGCCATGTTCACAATTCCCAAACTTCTAAAAGTTCAAATGGATAGCAGGAATTTAAGTTTTCAGTATGTAGCTTTTAGCCACTGATAGTTTCCACATAGCCAATCAGCAGTCTTTTACAAACTTTTATAAAATTATGGTATTTTGTGTTGTTAGTTTCATAGCAGGAATCCCAGTTTTGGCTTCTTAATATTCCATTACCAGTTCCCAGTCAGAGGATGGAACAGCTTGCACTCAGGTAAGCTTTCTGAAAGGTCTGTTTCACTTTGTGAGGTCGCTTATTCAGGTCTCTGGTAATGTATTATCTTGCCTCTCTTATAATGTACTTGATTTGGTCAGAAAGCTGTGGGGCGGTGATTGTATGGATGTAGAACACACCTGCGTTGGGCCGAACATGCAGAGATCTGACACTGTGACTCCTGAAATCAGGTATACCAGTGGTAAGACTTTGATAGCAAGTAATTTTATCTTTTGTGAATTTTTTTACTAGATTTTTTTTTTTCCTGAACAAGGTAATGGAAATGCATTGAAACAAAATTTCTTATATTTAAGAGTGGCTTGGTATATGAGGGAAACAACACTGGGTACAAAAGACCCAAGTTCTATTCCTGATTTCCCCCATTTCTAGTAGTGTAACCTAGGACAAGGTTAAGTATTATCATCTTTTAAATGAGGAAAATATTTGCTTTCTGTGACAATTATGTGAGAAAATGTATATGTGAAGACCTTTGTAAATTATATTACAAAGTACTATACAAATAAGGGATTTTATTTTTCATTTTCTTGTTAAGAATACAAGAAGGGAGAGAGACCATCTGTGTACGCCTCTGTGCAATGTAATGAGCTCAGGATAAAGGGGGTTGGTGTTCAAGAAATTATTATTTTTTAATTCTAGGAAATCACATAACTTAAACCCTCAGCAGAATCCTCAAGTGTTCAGGAGTAGCAGTGAACTGAGAAAAATACCAATTGCTTTTCATCAGTGATACTTTTTCTAGGAACGTTTTATTACATTCTATGATAAAGTTACAGATTATGTTTAGTAGAAAAAAAAATGACCCACTCTGAATTTCCATCCTAGACTCAGCTGTTCCTCTTCTGTTATATACAGAACATCGACTGTGGTATCTGGAGCCTTTGAAAAGTGCAAGTGGAACTCCTTTTTTGAATCAATGAGAGAACAAACTTGGTTCAAGACTATACAGTTACATAGTGGCAGAACCGGAATCAGTCACTTCTATACAAATCTAGGAACAACAGCTATTCAGCTGTTATGCTCTTTACATAGTACTTCTCCCTTCCCTAGGGTTAGTCCTCTCGGAAATAATGTGTGCTCATGTGAGAAGATGATCACTAAAAGGAAGACCTTTGTTCCTTAAGGAACTGTGTATTGGCTGTCAGGCTTACAGGACACCTTGAGATCAGTCCTGCAGAAATAGCTCTTATCTGCTTCATATCTGGCTTGGCAGAGCCCTGCTCTCTTACTATATCCAAAATATGATTTCCAGAAATAAGTCAAAACCTGATTTAATAAATACCCACTGAGGAAGAAACTTGGTAAAATGACTAGGCCCTTATTAATGGGCCTCATTTCTAATAATGTTTGATATAGTCATGATTTGTCAGTACACTAAGGGTTCTTAAGATGGATTTGAAGGAAACTTCATTTTCTAGAGGTAAAAGAAATGATGAGCCTTACTCTTCCTCAAACTCAGGAGTAACTTAAGTAGTATTTGTATCAAGAAAAAATTTTTATTTTGTGCTAAAAGTCCAATAAGGAATAATACAGTGTAATACAAAAAAGACTGCCCCTGAGTTGCCTGCTCCTCATCTTACACAAATTCTTCACCTCTCTAGACCTTCCCCCTCTTTGCTGTAAAATGAGTGCTGCAGTATCAGTGTTACCAGGGAATAACTGGAATAATACATTCATGTAGATCACATGCCCCAAAATGCTAAATGAATGTCAAGAAGATGTGCTTTAATTGGAATTGTATCAACTGAGAGGAAATAATCGACTCCAAATGTTAATATTTAGTTGGTAGATTAGCCCTTTCAAACATGGTAGTCCTGAAATTTATATTTCCAGTTCTAAGAGCCTTGAATGTTAAGAGTCAACTTGTGTTGATACTCAGTTAACCATGTCTTTGGGCAAATGTTTTCACCTCTCTAAGCCTATTCCTTCATCTACCACTTCTCAGAGAAGTTTGAGAATTAAACCCAGAATATATGTGAAAATGCATGCTAATCTATGAAGCACCATACAGGTATGAAGCATTGGTATTATGGAAGGTGATAAGTAAATAACCTTCAACAGGTTCAGTATCTGATCTTCAGTAGCTCCTGTAAGCTTTTCAGGCTCTATCTCCTGGCTGTTAGAGGTTAAAAACAGGCTCCTAGAAATTCAGATATCTCTGCTGACACAGCTGCTTTACCACACAAAGCCTTCCTGACCGGTTAGGATTCACTTATAATCTTTATCTTAGCTTTTTTATTCTGCTTCTGAAAGAGAGCGCTAAATCAGTATAAGTTTCAAAAAAAAAAAATAGAGATGGGAGTGATATGAGAACCTACTCAAAGGTCTTTCACCATTACTTTATACTTAGTGGAAATGTACAGCTGTTTCTAAAGTTACCATTTCCTCTGCCTTACAAAGAACTGGCCTGTGTACATTCTGACCATGTAGTAGTAATAACTGCTACTATTTACTGAGCATTTACTAAATGATATATATATACACACACAGATGTGGGAAATATTGCTAATTTACAAAAGAGGAAACTGGTTTGTAGCCAATTTGCATGATGTAAATGTTCCCACCATGGCCAATTGCAAACAACAAATGTAGTATCAATGAAAATGGAATTGGGAAGATACACACATAATGGGCTGTCATTGGGCTGGTACAAGCCAGGTCCAGCATATCCCTGGGACTAGGGACATTAAGTGAGTCATAGTTTAGGAACTAAACACAGAAAGTCTTGATTTTAGACTTGTGTACTTAACCAAGTTGCTGCACTACTTTTATGATAGTTTTCAGCTCAAATAAGCCTACATATAATACTACATATTTAAAAGACCACAGAGCAACTCTTTGTGAGAGAGAGGAACTAGGATTACTCTTCTGGCTTCTAGAAAGTGATTCTACAACTTAAAAAAAAAAAAACTTTTAAGTTCTGGGGTACATGTGCAGAACATGCAGGTTTGTTACATAGGTATACACGTGCCATGGTGGTTTGTGGTATCCATCAACCCATCATCTAGGTATTTCTCCTAATGCTATCCCTCCCCTAACCCCCCACCCCCGACAGGCCCCAGTGTGTGATGTGTCCATGTGTTCTCACTGTTCAGTTCCCACTTAGGAGTGAGAACATGCAGTGTTTGGTTTTCTGTTCTTGTGTTAGTTTGCTGAGAATGATGGTTTCCAACTTCACCCATGTCCCTGCAAAGGACATGAACTCATCTTTTTACTTATTTATTTATTTAGAGATGGAGTCTTGCTCTGTTGCCCAGGCTGGAGTGCAGTGGCACAATCTTGGCTCACTGCAAGCTCCGCCTTCTGGGTTCACACCATTCTCCTGCCTCAGCCTCCTGAGTAGCTGGGACTACAGGCACCTGCCACCACGCCCAGCTAATTTTTTTGTATTTTTTAGTAGAGACGGGGTTTCACCATGGTAGCCAGGATGGTCTCGATCTCCTGACCTTGTGATCTGCCTGCCTCAGCTTCCCAAAGTGCTGGGATTACAGGCGTGAGCCACCACACCTGGCTGAACTCATCCTTTTTTATGGCTGCATAGTATTCCATGGTGTATATGTACCACATTTTCTTTATGCAGTCTATCACTGATGGGCATTTGGGTTGGTTCCAAGTCTTTGCTATTGTGAATAGTGCCACAATAAACATACACATGCGTGTGTCTTTATAGTAGAATGATTTATAATCCTTTGGGTATATACTCAGTAATGGGATTGCTGGGTCAAATGGTATTTTTAGTTCTAGATTCTTGAGGAATCGCCACACTGTCTTCCACAATGGTTGAACTAATTTACACTCCCACCAACAAACAGTGTAAAAGCATTCCTATTTCTTCACATCCTCTCCAGCATCTGTTGTTTACTGACTTTTTAATGATCGCCATTCTAATTGGCGTGAGATGGTATCTCATTGTGGTTTTGATTTGTATTTCTCTAATGACCAGTGATGAGCTTTTTTTCACATGTTTGCTGGCTGCATCAGTGTCTTCTTTTGAGAAGTGTCTGTTCATAACATTTGCCCACTTTTTGATGAGGTTTGTTTTTTTGTTTAAGTTCTTCGTAGATTCTGGATATTAGCCCCTTGTCAGATGGATAGATTGCAAAAATTTTCTCCCATTCTGTAGGTTGCCTGTTCACTTGCATGACAGTTTCTTTTGCTTTGCAGAAGCTCTGTAGTTTAATTAGATCCCATTTGTCAATTTTGGCTTTTGTTGCCATTGCTTTTGGTGTTTCAGTCATGAAGTCTTTGCTCATGCCTCTGTCTAGAATAGTATTGCCTAGGTTTTCTTCTACGGTTTTTATGGTTTTAGGTCTTATGTTTAAGTCTTTCATCCATCTTGAGTTAATTTTTGTATAAGGTGTAAGGAAGGGGTCCAGTTTCAGTTTTCTGCATATGGTTAGCCAGTTTTCCCAGCACCATTTATGAAACAGGGAATCCTTTCCCTGTTGCTTGTTTCTGTCAGGTTTGTCAAAGATCAGATGATTGTAGATGTGTGGTGTTATTTCTGAAGGCTCTGATCTGTTCATTGATATATATATATATATATCTTTTTTGGTACCAGTACCATGCCATGTGGTTACTGCAGCCTTGTAGTATAGTTTGAAGTCAGATAGTGTGATGCCGCCAACTTTGTTCTTTTTGCTTAGGATTGTCTTGGCTATGCAGGCTCTTTTTTGGTTCCATATAAAATTTAAAGTCGTTTTTTCTAATTCTGTGAAGAAAGTCAATGGTAGCTTGATGGAGATAGCATTGAATCTATAAATTACTTTGGGCAGTATGGCCATTTTCATGATACTGATTCTTCCTATCCATGAGCATGGAATGTTTTTCCATTTGTTTGTGTCTTTTCTTATTTCCTTGAGCAGTGATTTGTAGTTCTCCTTGAAGAGGTCATTCACATCTCTTGTAAGTTGTATTCCTAGGTATTTAATTATCTTTGTAGCAGTTGTGAATGGGAGTTCACTCATGATTTGGCTCTCTGTTATTGGTGTATACAAATGGTTGTGATTTTTGCACATTGATTTTGTATCCTGAGACTTTGCTGGAGTTGCTTATCAGCTTAAGGAGATTTTAGGCTGAGATGGGGTTTTCTAAATATACAATCATGTCATCTGCAAACAGAGACAGTTCTTCCTCTTTTCCTGTCTGAATACCCTTTATTTCTTTCTCTTGCCTGATTGCCCTGGCCACAACTTCCAACACTATGTTGAATAGGAGTGGCGAGAGAGGGCATCCTTGTCTTGTGCCGGTTTTTAAAGGGAATGCTTCCAGTTTTTGCCCATTCAGTATGATATTGGCTGTGGGTTTGTCATAAATAGCTCTTATTTTTAGATACATTTCATCAATACCTAGTTTATTGAGAGTTTTTAGCATGAAGGGTATTGAATTTTGTCAAAGGCCTTTTCTGCATCTATTGAGATAATCATGTGGTTTTTGTTTTGGTTCTGTTTATGTGATGGATTATGTTTATTGATTTGCTTATGCTGAACCAGCCTTGCATCCCAGGGATGAAGCCAACTTGATTGTGGTGGATAAGCTTTTTGATGTGCTGCTGGATTCAGTTTGCCAGTATTTTATTGAGGATTTTCACATCGATGTTCATCAGGGATATTGGCCTGAAATTTTCTTTTTTTGTTGTTGTGTGTCTGCCAGGTTTTGGTATCAGGATGATGCTGGCCTCATAAAATGAGTTAAGGAGGATTCCCTCTTTTTCTATTATTTGGAATAGTTTCAGAAGGAATGGTATCAGCTCCTCTTTGTACCTCTGGTAGAATTCGGCTGTGAATCTGTCTGATCCTGGACGTTTTTTGGTCGGTAGACTATTACTGCCTTCATTTCAGAACTTGTTATTGGTCTATTCAGGGATTCACCTTCTTCCTGGTTTAGACTTGGGAGGGTGTATGTGTCCAGGAATTCAGCCATTTCTTCTAGATTTTCTAGTTTATTTGCATAGAGGTATTTATAGTATTCTCTGATGGTAGTTTGTATTTCTGTGGGATCAGTGGCAGTATCCCCTTTGTCATTTCTCATTGCGTCTATTTGATTCGTCTCTCTTTTCTTTATTAGTCTAGCTAGCAGTCTATGTATTTTGTTGATCTTTTCCAAAAAAATAGCTCCTGGATTCCTTGATTTTTTTGAAGGGCTTTTTGTGTCTCTATCTCCTTCAGTTCTGCTCTGATCTTAGTTATTTCTTGTCTTCTGCTAGCTTTTGAATTTGTTTGCTCTTGTTTCTCTGGTTCTTTTAATTGTGATGTTAGAGTGTCGATTTTAGATCTTTCCTGCTTTCTCTTGTGGGCATTTAGTGCTATAAATTTTCCTCTACACACTGCTTTCAATGTGTCCCAGAGATTTTGGTACGTTGTGTCTTTGTTCTCATTGGTTTCAAAGACCTTATTTCTGCCTTCATTTCGTTACCCAGTAGTCATTCAGGAGCAGGTTGTTCAGTTTCCATGTAGTTATGCAGTTTTGAGTGAGTTTCTTAATCCTGATTTCTAATTTGATTGCATGGTGGTCTGAGAGACTGTTTGTTATGATTTCCATTCTTGTGCATTTGCTGAGGAGTGTTTTACTTCCAATTATGTGGTCAGTTTTAGAATAAGTGTGATGTGCTGAGAAGAATGTGTATTCTGTTAATTTGGGGTGGAGAGTTCAGTAGATGTTATTAGGTCCGTTTGGTCCAGAGCTGAGTTCAAGTACTGAATATCCTTGTTAATTTTTTGTCTCGTTGATCTAATATTGACAGTGGGGTGTTAAAGTCTCCCACTATTATTATGTGGGAGTCTAAGTCACTTTGTAAGTCTCTAAGAACTTCCTTTATGAATCTGGGTGCTCCTGTATTGGGTGCATATATATTTAGGATAGTTAGCTCTTCTTGTTGCATTGATTCCTTTACCATTATGTAATACCCATCTTTGTCTCTTTTGATCTTTGTTGGTTTAAAGTCTGTTTTATCAGAGACTAGGATTGCAACTCCTGCTTTTTTTTGCTTTCCATTTGCTTGGTAAATATTTCTCCATCCCTTTATTTTGAGCCTGTGTCTTTGTACTTGAGATGGGTCTCCTGAATACAGCACACTGATGGGTCTTGACTCTTTATCCAATTTGCCAGTCTGTGTCTTTTTTTTTTTTTTTTTTGAGACAGAGTCTTGCTCTGTTGCCCAGGATGGAGTCTAGTGGCACGATCTTGGCTCACCACAACCTCCGCCTCCCGGGTTCAAGCGATTCTCCTGCCTCAGCCTCCTGAGTAGCTGGGATTACAGGCCTGCACTACCATGCCTGGCTAATTACTGTATTTTTAGTAGAGACGGAGTTTCACCATGTTGGTCAGGCTGGTCTCAAACTCCTGACCTCGTGATCCACCCTCCTCGGCCTCTCAAAGTGCTGGGATTATAGGTGTGAGCCACCATGCATGGCCAGTCTGTGTCTTTTAATTGGGGCATTTAGCCCATTTACACTTAAGGTTAATATTGTTGTGTGTGAATTTGATCCTGTCATTATGATGCTAGCTGGTTATTTTGCCCATTAGTTGATGCAGTTTCTTCATAGTGTTGATGGTCTTTACAATTTGGCATGTTTCTGCAGTGGCTGGTACTGGTTGTTCCTTTCCATGTTTAGTGCTTCCTTCAGGAGCTCTTGTAAGGCAGGCCTGGTGGTGACAAAATCTCTCAGCATTTGCTTGTCTGCAAAAGGATTTTATTTCTCCTTCTCTTATGAAGCTTAGTTTGGCTGGATATGAAATTCTGGGTTGGAAATTCTTTTCTTTAAGAATGTTGAATATTGGCCCCCTCTCTCTTCTGGCTTGCAGGGTTTCTGCAGAGAGATCCACTGTTAGTCTGATGGGCTTCCCTTCGTGGGTAACCCGAACTTTCTCTCTGGCTGCCCTTAACATTTTTTCCTTCATTTCAACCTTGGTGAATCTGACAATTATGTGTCTTGGGGTTGCTCTTCTCGAGGAGTATCTTTGTGGTGTTTTCTGTTATTTCCTGAATTAGAATGTTGGCCTGTCTTGCCAGGTTGGGAAGTTCTCCTGGATAATATCCTGAAGAGTGTTTTCCAACTTGGTTCTGTTCTCCTCATCACTTTCAGGTACATCAATCAAACGTAGATTTTGTCTTTTCACATAGTCCCATATTTCTTGGAGGCTTTGTTCGTTCCTTTTCATTCCTTTTTCACTAATCTTGTCTGCTCGCTTTATTTCATTAAGTAAGTTGATCTTCAGTCGCTGACATCCTTTATTCCACTTGATCGATTCAGCTGTTGATACTTGTGTATGCTTCACAAAGTTCTTGTGCTGTGTTTTTCAGCTCCATCAGATCATTTATGTTCTTCTTTATACTGGTTATTCCAGTTAGCAATTCGTCTAACCTTTTTTCAAGGTTCTTAGCTTCCTTGCATTAGGTTAGAACATGCTTCTTCAGCTTGGAGGAGTTTGTTATTACCCACCTTCTGAAGCCTACTTCTGTCAATTTGTCAAACTCATTCTGCATCCAGTTTTGTTCCCTTGCTGGCGAGGAGTTGTGATCCTTTGGAGGAGAAGAGACATTCTGTTTTTTGGAATTTTCACTTGTTTTGCGCTGGTTTCTCCCCATCTTTGTGGATTTATCTACCTTTGGTCTTTGATGTCGGTGACCTCCGGATGGGATCTCTGAGTGGACGTCCTTTTTGTTGATGTTGATGCTAGTTCTTTCTGTTTGCTAGTTTTCCTTCTAACAGACCTCTCTGCTGCAGGTCTGCTAGAGTTTCCTAGAGGTCCACTCCAGACCCTGTTTGCCTGGGTATTACCCAGGCTGCAGGACAGCAAAGATTCCTGCCTGTTCCTTCTTCTGGAAGCTTCGTCCCAGAGGGGCACTCACCAGATGCCAGCCAGAGCTCTCCCATATGAGGTGTCTGTCAGCTCCTACTGGGAGGTGTCTACCAATCAGGAGACACTGGGGTCAGGAACTCACTTGAGGAGGCAGTTTGACCCTTAGCAGAGCTCGAATGCTGTGCTGTGAGATCCACTGCTCTTTTCAGAGCCATCAGGCAGGGACGTTTAAGTCTGCTGAAGCTGCGCTCACAGCTGCCCCTTCACCTGGGGGAAGGTGACATCTGTCCCAGGGAGATGGTGGTTTTATCTCTAAGCCCCTGACTGGGGATGCTTTTTTTTTTTTTTTTTTTTTTTTTTTTCAGAGATGCCCTGCCCAGAGAGGAGGAATATAGAGAGGCAGTCTGGCCACAGCGGCCTTGCTGAGCTGCAGTATGCTCTGCCCAGTTCGATCTTCCAGGTGGCTTTGTTTACACTTTGAGGGTAAAACTGCCTACTCAAGCCTCAGGAATGGCAGACACCTCTTCCCCCACCAAGCTCGAGCATCCCAGGCTGAGTTCAGACTGCTGTGCTGGCAGCAAGAATTTCAAGCTGGTGAATCTTAGGTTGCTGGGCACTGTGGGGATGGGATCCACCGAGCCAGACCACTTGGCTCCCTGGCTTCAGCCCCCTTTCCAGGGGAGTGAATGGTTCTGTCTTACTGGCATTCCAGGAACCACTGGGGTATGAAAAAAAACTCTTGCAGCTAGCTTGGTGTCTGCCCAAACAGCCGCCCAGTTTTGTGCTTGAAACCCAGGGCCCTGGTGGTGTAGGCACCGGAAGGAATCTCCTGGTCTGCAGGTTGTGAAGACCGTGGGAAAAGTGCAGTACCTGGGCCGGAGTGCACTGTTCCTCACAGTACAGTCCCTAATGGCTTTCCTTGGCTAGGAGAGGGAGTTCCCTGACCCCTTGTGCTTCCTGGGTAAGGCAACGCCCCACCCTGCTTCGGCTCGCCCTTGTGGGCTGCACCCACTGTCCAACCAGTCCCAGTGAGATGAACCAGGTACCTCAGTTGGAAATGCAGAAATCACCCACCTTCTGCATCCATCTCTCTGGGAGCTGTAGACCGGAGCTGTTTCTATTCGGCCATCTTGCCAGCAATTGATTCTAGAACTTTTTACTCCTCTTCTCGTTAGCTCAAACTACTGGAAGAAACTGGTTAGATATGGAATATGTTTCCACTGGCTGAAAAAAATGGTAGTAGCTATAAGTGGCTTACCTAAAACTCAGCAGGACTACTTTATGACATCACCGTTTGCAGGTATGCTGCCTGGACCCACTTAGGAATCACTCTTTCTCCTTCCTAGGACCTCCCCTAAAATTTGCAGGCCCTGAAGCAATAGATAGGTCAAGATATTTCGGTGTTATAAATCAAGCTTAAAAGCTACTAAATTTTATGCACAACATGCAAGTCCACCTTGAATTTTCACACTTCTCAGAATTCCATGCCCAAAGATGGCAGCCAGGGGAGAACCAGCCTGCAGCACATTGCCTTCCTTCTCTTCCACCCGCTCCTTCAGTATTCTGAAGGGCTTCACAGGAACACTTGTGTATTCTTCAGCCTACATGCCTAAGTAAGTAAGTTTTTCCACAGCCTTGCAAATAGCTGCCCCTTGGACACCTTTTCAACCAGGGTAGGTTTGGGCAAAAGATAGATAGGCCTTGTGAAAGCCCTGGAAGCTGAGCAGTTTAGGCAGGAAAATCAGGGTTTCAGGTACCTTGAACGTGGTCGAGAAGAGAATGAAGTGAGTTCCAGGTAGGCATAACCCACTGGCCCAGCAGACTTTTTGCCCCCTGGGAAAGAACACAACTACAGGAGGGCCTCTAAAATGAGGCACCCGAGGGCAGTGCTGGGCCTGTCTTTTCTCCTAAAGTCAACTGGGTCACTTTTTAAAAGATAATTCTGTTGTCCCTAATATGTTATTTTTTCAATGCAAATATAATTATCACTGAATACTATTTCATGACTCCTAGAGTATTCACTGCTAGGAACTGGTGTTTAGTATTAACAGATTCATCACAAAATGTTGTGTGTTAGGAAGAAGGGAAAAGGGCTGATATTTTAATAAAACCTTGTAAATATGTTCTGTGAGTTACTAGTTGCACAGCACATTTTGTAACTATAGGATCATCCCAGGAGTCTCAACAAGAGAAAGACAAAGAGTTTTTGTTCTGTTTGCTTTAAGTGCTGTTTGTTAGTGAGATTGGATCAAGATGGCAAACAGAAGTATCTGCTCTCCCTCTCAACTCTAAATTCCATAAAGTGCTGTAATTAATAAAACAGAAGAAAAATAAGAAATCTGCTATAGCACTGAAAGATGAGAGGGCTAGCAATGGAATAGAAATTTGGAAGAATGCCAGAAACATCAAAAGCAGGTAGGATCAGTTATAGGCAAACAAAATGATAGGGAATCATAATTCAAAACAGGCAAGACTACTATAAAAGGAGGCATGGGTTGGAACCCAGAGTCAACAGATGCAAAAAGCAGGAGGGTTCCCTGGGGTACTGGACAGGGTGACTCATTAGGGAGCTGATTGATTCAGAATAGCTACGCAAGTTCCCTTCCCCAACCACAAGCTGAGTGGTGGACAAAAGCAGTGTCTCTGGCCAGCCTATAACAACTGAGTGATGCCACCGAAGCTGGGAAAGCAGGGCAGTGCCCCCAGACACTTGCTGACCCGCAAGAGGAGAACAGAAGCCCATACCCTAGTTCCCCCTTATCCATGGTTTTGCTTTCCACAGTTTGTTACCCATGGTCAACACAGTCTTAATATATTACATGGAAAGTTCCAGAAATAATTCATGAGTTTTACATTGCAGGTAGATTCTGAGTACTGGGATGAAATCTTGTACCATCTGCTCTGTCCTTCCCAGGATGTGAATCATCCCTTTGTCCAGTGTATCCACACTGTCTACGCTGCCTGCCTGTTAGTCAATCAGTAGCTGTCCTCGTTAATCAGATCAACTGTCACAGTATCTCAGTGTTTGCATTCAAGCAACTCCTATTTAACTTAATAATGACCTCAAAATGCCAGTAGTGATTCTGGCAATTCCGATGTGCCAAAAAACTGTAAATTGCTTCCTTTAAGTGAAAATGTAAAAGTTCTTGACAATAATTATTTTAATTGTATGCTGAGGTTGCTAAGATCTAAAATATGGCTTAGATCTAAGGTATGAACAAATCTTCCATCCGTGAAATTGTGAAGAAGGAAAGATAAATTCGTGTTAGTTTTGCTGTGCACCTTAAACTTCGGAAGTTACCCCAGAGTGCAGGTAGGCACTTAGTTAAGGTGTAAAGAGCATTAAACTTGTGGATGGCAGACGTGAATGGAAACGTGTTCCAACTGACAGCCACTGGGTTTGGTACTATTCATGGTTTCAGGTATCCACTGGGGGTCTTGGAATATACTCCCTGCAGATAAGGAGGACTACTGTACCCAGAGCCAAAATACTGGCATATCCTCAACATAGCACAGCCCACTACTCTCATCACAGGCTATGATAACAGATACGGCATCCATAAAAAGAGGCTCTCAAATACAAAAATGAGCAACTAAATAACTTAAAATTATAACTGTGAATCACTAAAATATTTGAAGAAAGTCAGTAACACGAAAGGCCCTGAACAAACCGTTTTAAAAAGTCAAAATAACAGCATATTAAAGAAGACATCAAATAAGTGTATTTAACATCCCAAGAGTATAGAGTATGGTATCATAGCCATAAAATAAGTATAGGTTATTATAAAAGAACCAATCCAATCTTAGATATTGCAATTATGGTTGTTAAAGTTGTTTTAAAAGCTAAATAGAGGGATACAGCTGAAGAGTAAAGCTGTCAGAATAATCACAAGGTGTCTCTCATTCAACCAAAAAGTACTAACAGAGAAAGTATCAAGGAAAGCTCAATGATACAGGGATATGTCCCAAAATTCCAGTATCTAAATAGGAGATAAAAGATGGGACATAGGGAGAAAAATATAGACTAGAATAGCTTTCTTTGGTTTGAAAAGGCACAAGTTTAGGACTATAAAACGATCTTTCCCTTTTAAATAAGAATCATTGACCAAAAGTGTCAGAATATCTCAACAGGAGTGATTGTAGGTGTATTTTTACCATAGTGCACTAAAATGTACATTTTTAAATGCAAGGCTTGCCGAAAAGAAAGTTTTCAAATCCCCTTCTAAATAACTCAGGGCAAAAGGAAATTTAAAAATTAAATAATTTAGTAATTAATACAGAATTAGGGCTCCGTGGAGAAATTACTAATATCTGGTCTTGGCAAGAAATAAAAGGAAGAGTTTGGAGCATCTTGTCATACTGGAAAGCTAGGAAGCTATCAAAGATTCCTGAGGGCCAA
Organism: Homo sapiens; assembly: GCF_000001405.40. Taxonomy (NCBI): domain Eukaryota; kingdom Metazoa; phylum Chordata; class Mammalia; order Primates; family Hominidae; genus Homo; species Homo sapiens. The sequence continues at coordinate 195,428 of NW_025791761.1, forward strand.
ACACAGTGGCTCATGTCTAATCCCTGTGCTTTGGGAGGCCAAGGCAGGAGGACTGCTTGAGCTCAGGAGTTTGAAACCAACCTGAGCAATATATTAGGTTGGTGCAAAAGTAACTGTGGAAACTGCAACCTAAAAGCAAGACCCCTGTCTATACAAAAAATCAAAAAAACAAAAACAAAAAACACAAAAAACCAGCAGGTGCAGTAGCATGTATCCGTAGTCCTAGCTACTCATGAGGCCGCGGTAGGAGGATCACTTGAGCCAAGGAGTTTGAAACCAGCCTAAGCAACATACCAAGACCCCATCTCTTAAAAAAAAAAAAAAAAATCCTGAGGTAATATCGGTAGGACTTAGAAGTTAATTGCAAGAGGCTCCCACTGGCCGAAGATGAGACAACTTGAGTATTAAAAAAAAAAAAGACCAGGCGGCCATGGTGGCTCACACCTGTAATCTCAGCACTTTGGGAGGCTGAGGCGGGCAGATCACCTGAGGTTGGGAATTGGAGACCAGCCTGGCCAACATGGTGAAACCCTGTCTCTACTAAAAATACAAAAATTAGCCTGGCATGGTGGTAGGTGCCTGTAATCCCAGCTACTTGGGAGACTGAGGCACGAGAATCGCTTGAACCTGGGAGGTCGAGGCTGCAGCGAGCTGAGCTCATGCCACTGCACTCCAGCCTGGGTGAGAGAGCAAGACTCTATCTCAAAAAAAAAAAAAAAAAAAAAAAAAAATCCAAAGGTTTAAAACATATCAAATATGTTTAATTCTTTGACACTTCTCAAAGAAATTCTCATTGTTCATCTCTGGAAGATGCTGGGGAAATATTTTGAAAACAAAAAAATCAAGCATTTATCCTGTTTTTCCCCTCTGTGTAACCAAATAATTGTTACGTTTCTCTTTATAAAAGTATCTCAGCTAATATGTAAGATATAATAGAATACCACCATTTTGCAACTCCTGATGAAATAATGGTTGAAGGTAATTATCAAAGGCTGCTAGTTACCAAAAGAGACATTATTCTGTGCCTTCTTTTGGATGTACACGTAACACACCCACAAAGTATTCTTTTTTTTTTTTTGAGACAGAGTCTCGCTCTGTCGCCCAGGCTGGAGTGCAGTGGCGCAATCTCGGCTCACTGCAAGCTCCGCCTCCCAGGTTCACACCATTCTCCTGCCTCAGCCTCCCCAGTAGCTGGGATTACAGGCACCTACCACCATGCCAGGCTAATTTTTGTATTAGCCTGGCATGGTGGTAGGCTAATTTTGTATTAGGACTACAGGCGCCCGCCACCACACCCAGCTAATTTTTTGTATTTTTTAGTAGAGACAGGGTTTCACCGTGTTAGCCAGGATGGTCTCAATCTCCTGATCTCGTGACCCACCCGCCTCGGCCTCCCAAACTGCTGGGATTACAGGCATGAGCCACCGCACCCGGCCTCCACAAAGTATTCTTACCAAAAAAAAAAAAAAAAATTGATCATAAATGCTGTCAAGCCTCTAGAACATAACTACCAATTTATAGAAAATTCAGGGAAATAGAAACAGCTAAACACCACCACAAGGATGCAATCACCAAAATTGAGAATGTAGGAAACTACAGGACAAACAGGCTGAAGTCTTATGTGCAAGTAAAAAAGAGGAGGAGAGGGAAACCAAAGACTAAAAAGAGATTTAGGAGTGAAATCAATCATATTCCATGTATGGACTTCACTTGGATACTGATTCAAACTGTGTGAGTGTGTGTGTGAGAGAGAGAGAAGGAAAGAGAGACTGACAGACACAGTTGGGGAAATGGTAGTGTTAGATTTAAGAGAGAGATCAACTATATTCCATGTATGGACTTTACTTGGATACTGATTCAAACTGTGCATGTATATGTGTATGTCTGTGTGTGTGTGTGTGTGTGTGCATGCATGCGCGAGAGAGAGAGAAGGAAAGAGACTGACAGAGTTGGGGAAATGGTGGTGTTATGTATTTTTTTCAAAAGTCCTTAACACTTAGAGGTATATAAGGAAATATTTCTGGGTGATCTGATATCTGGGGTTTGTTTCAGAATAATTCAGTAAGGGTGGAAGAGACATGGATGAAGTATAATTGAAACAGGATTAGCTATGAGTTGATCATTTTTGAAGCTGCGTGATGAGTAAAAATTGTAAATATTACAGTATTCTGTTTACTTTGTATACATTTGAATTTTTCCAAAAGTTAAGTCAATACAGCATATACCTTTGTTAATAAATTTGAAAACCTTGACAATATAGAAGAAAAACTAAGGAAAATATAAATTGGTGAAGTTGATCTAAGAAGTAAAAACTTAAATAGACCAGTAAACCAAAAAGAAGTTGAAAAGGTTACCAAAGATTACTCCCTTGAAATACGTAAGCTTTTTTTTTTGAGACAGGGTCTCATTCTGTCACCCAGGCTGGAATACAGTGTCACGATTTCAACTCACTGCAACCTCTATCTCTAGGGCTCAACTGATTCTCCCATCTCAGCCTCAGTAGCTGGGACCACAGGTACATGCCACCTCTCCTGGCTAATGCTTGTGCTTTTTTGTAGAGACAGGATTTCGCCATGTTGCCCAGGCTGGTCTCGAACTGGTGGGCTCAAGTGATCTGCCTGCCTTGGCCTCCCAAAGTGCTGAGAATACAGGCACGAGCGACCACGCCTGGCTGAAAGACATAAGCTTTAAAGGCACAATTTCTAGAGCTTTAGTAACAGCTATTCTAGAAACTAGAAAACGATGGAAAATGCAGTGGACACCAAACCAGACATGGACAGTACAAAGTCAAAACAAAAGAATAAGCCAATCTCAGGAATGAACAAAAATGCAAAAATTGAACACGTGTGGATTAAGATATCACAGCCAAGTAGGCTTAATCCTAGAAATTTTTAAATGTTTCACTATGAGAAAATGTACTAATATTGCTAATCATATGTAAAAATTAGAAAAATCTCAGTGGAGGCAAAAAAGTATATGATAAAATTTAATACCTATTCTTGATTTTAAAAGAAAAAAGAAACACCAGAATAAATTAGGAATAGTGAAAACTCTTAAGTCAATAAAGTGTATCTATCAGCCCGGTGCAGTGGCTTATGCCTGTAATCCCAGCACCTTTGGAGGCTGAAATAGGCAGATCACCTGAGCTCGGGAGTTCAAGACCAGCCTGACCAACATGGAGAAACTCCATCTCTACTAAAAGTACAAAATTACCCGGGCGTGGTGGTGCATGCCTGTAATCCCAGCTACTCAGGAGGCTGAGGCAGGAGAATCGCTTGAACCTGGGAGGCAGAGGTTGCGGCGAGCCAAGATCGTGTCATTGCACTCCAGCCTAGGCAACAAGAGCGAAACTCTGTCTCAAAAAAAAAAAAAAAAAAAAAAATCGTATCTATCAGAAACCTACAGCAAGCATCACACTTAAGGGTGAGATGTTAGAATCATTCTCACTAATGCTAGAGAAATGCGAGGATGCTTGCTATCACACTCCTCCTGTTTAACATGGTGGTAGATGTCCAAGCATCTGCATTAAGATAAGAAAATAAAATGTAAATATTGAAAAGACACAAAACCACCTTTGCAGATAAAATTTTTAACCATGAGAGGACAAGATAATCAGCCAACTGAAAAATATTGCAAGAGTTCATTAAGATGACTGAGTATAAGATTAGCATATCCAAATTGCCTGTTACATTAGTTAGAAAATGTAATGGGCAATAACTCTGTTCATAATAGGAATGAAAATATTTAAACCTAAGCATACTACCAATAAAAGGAGTTTGTAAAACCTAATACTTAAGAATATAAAATTTTGCTGAAGGATATTAAAAAATCTGAAAAATGGACAGACCTGAGATGGAAAGATCCCATATTACCAAATATCAGTATACATCCTAAAGCAAATTATAAATTTCCAAGGAAAATTCCAACAGAATTTTTAACTAGAACTTGAAAAAATGTTGATTGTATAACTCATGGAAGAGAAATGATAGAAAAATAAGCAATATAATTTTGAAAATGAACACAGAAGGCGAACTTGCTCTCCCAAATGCTACTTCATACTGCAACTGGCCTTCCCTCCATATTTGCAGGTTCTATATCCACGGATTCAACTAACCAACTTGAAAATATTGGGAAAAAACTATTAAAAATAACAATACCCAATAAAAATAATGCAAATAAAAACCCAATATAGCTATTTATGTGCATTTACATTGTATTAGGTACAAGTAATCTAGAGATGATTTAAAGTACATGGGAGTATGAGCGTAGGTTATATGGAAATACTAAAACATTTTATTTGGGGAATTGAGCATCCTTGAATTTTGGTATCTGTGAGGGATCCTGGAAATCAGGAGTAGATATACTGATTTCAAATAGAGAATACTCCAGAGCAAGGAAAGTTATCAGGGATAAAAAGGGGCATTATATAATGATAAAGGGGTCAATACTCCAGGAAGACAGAACAATTCTTACATATGCTCCCAACAAGACAGCATCAAAATATGTGAGGCAAAAACTGATTGAACTACAAGGAGTTCACTAGTATGGTTAGAGGCTTCAACACCCCTCTATCAGAAAAGGACAGATCCAGCAGGCAGAAGATCAATCAGTAAGGACATAGTTGAACTCAGTAACACCATCAATCAACTGGATGTAATGGATGTCTATTTACTACTACTTAAAACAACAGCAGAATGCACATTCTTATCAAGCTTACATGAAACATTCACAAAGACCACATTCTGGGCCATAAAAACACACTTTAAAACATTTAAAAGAATAAACATATAATATCTATTCTCAGGCCTCAAAGGAATTAAACTAGAAATCAATAATAAAGATAGCTCGAAACCTTAAAATACTTGGAGATTGAACAACACACTTCTAAATAACACATGAGTCAAAGAAGAAATCTCAACAGAAAATTTAAAATATTTTGAAATATATGAAAATGAGGGCAGGCGCAGTGGCTCATGCCTGTAATCCCAACACTTTGGGAGGCTGAGGCAGGCAGATCACTTGAGATCAGGAGTTTGAGACCAGCCTGGCCAACATGGTGAAACCCCATCTCCACTAAAAATTAAAAAATGAGATGGGCTTGGTGGTGCAGGCCTATAATCCCAGCTACTCAGGGGGCTGAGGCAAGAGAATCGCTTGAGCCCAGGGGGCAGAGGTTGCAGTGAGCTGAGATTACGCCACTGCACTCCAGCCTGGGTGATAGAGCAAGACTCTGTCTCAAAAAAACAAAACGTATATATATGAAAATGAAAATACAACTCATTAAAAATTTATGGGATGCAGTGAAAGCAGTGCTTGCAGAGAAATTTATTACATTGAATGTATATATAAGAAAAGAAGAAAAATCTAAAATCAGTAATCTAAGCTCTCACCTTATAAATAAATCCAACATAAGCAGCAGAAAAAAGAAATGGAACAGAAATCAGTGACATTGAAAACAGAAAATCAATAGAGAAAACCAACAAAACCAAAAGCTAGTTCTTTGAAAAGATCAATAAAATTGATAAGCCTCTAGCCAGGGCCAAGAAAAAAAGAAGATACAAATTACTGATACCAGAAATGAAAAAGGGCCATCACTATAGATCCCACGGGCATGAAAATGGTAACAAAGAAATACTATGAACAGCTCTATGCCCACAAAATGTGAAACACAAAACTGGCCTAGCACGGTGGCTCACGTCTATGATGCCAGCACTTTGGGAGACAGAGGTGGGTGGATCACGAGGTCAGGAGATCGAGATCATCCTGGTCAACATGGTGAAACCCCACCTCTACTAAAAATACAAAAATTAGCTGGGCATGGTGGCGTGTACCTGTAGTCCCAGCTACTCAGGAGGCTGAGGCAGGAGAATGGCTTGAACCCAGGAGGTGGAGGTTGCAGTGAGCCAAGATCACGCCACTGCACTCCAGCCTGGGCGACAGAACGAGATTCCGTCTCAAAAAAACAAACAAACAAACAAACTATAAAACTCCTAGAAGATAACAAAGGCGAAAAACCTTTGATAAGGAGATAACCTGGAGTATGACAATAATATTTTAGATACAACACTAAATATATGATCCATGAAAGAAATAATTGATAAGCCAATTTCATTAAAATTTAAAACTTCTGCCTCTGGGAAAACAATGTGAAGTTAATGAAAAGATAAGCCATAGACTGGGAGAAAATATTTGCAAAAGACATCTGATAAAAGGCTGTTATCCAAAAAAATACAAGGAACTTTAAAAACTCAACAATAAAAAAAAAAAAAAAACAGACAACCTAATGTAAAAATGAGCAAAAGACCTGAATGGGACACTTCACCAAAGAACACATACAGATGGCAAGTAAGCATATGAAAAGATACTCCTCCACATCATAGGTCATTAGGAAGCTGCAGATTAAAACAACAATGAGATACTACTACACACCAATTAGAATGGCCAAAATCCAAAATACTGACAACAACAAATGCTGACAAGTATATGGAGCAACAAGAACTCTTAATTCATTGCTGATGGGAATGCAAAATGGTACAGCCACTTTGGAAGACAGTTTGGCAGTTTCTTACAAAACTAAACATACTCTATCCATACAGTCCAGCAATTGCAATTCTTGGTATTTACCCAAATGAGCTGAAAACATGTCTACACAAATACCTGCATAGAGAAGTCCATAGCACCTTTATTCATAATTGCCAAAACTTGGAAGCAACCAAGATGTCCTTTAGTAGATGAGTGTCTAAATAAATTGTGGTACATCCAGGCTTTGGAATATTATTCACCATGAAAAAGAAATGAGCTATGAAGCCACAAAAAGGCATACAAAAAACTTAAATTGATATTCCTGCTGAGGCAGGAGGATCACTTCAGCCTAGGAGTTCAAGATCAGCCGAAGCAATATAGTGAGATCTCATCTCTACCAAAACAAAACAAAACAAAAAAACAAGTGAAAGAAGCCAATCTGAAAAGGATACATACTGCGTAACTCAAAGTATATGACACTCTGGAAAAGGCAAAACTATGGGGATAGTAAAAAGATTAGTGGTTGTCAGGAATTGGGGGAAGGGAGGGATGTCAGGAATTGGGGGAAGGGAGCGATGAATAGGCAGAGCAGAGTATTTTTAGGGCAATTAAATTATTTTTTACAATGATAAACACACGTCTTTATATCTTCGTCAAAACCTATCAATTAGAACCAAGTGATCACAGCAGAAAAAAAAAGAAAAAGAAAAAGAAAAAACCCTATAGAATGTACACCGCCAAAAGTGAACCCTAATGTAAACTATGGACTTTGGGTGACAATGATGAGTCAATGTAGGTTCATCAAACATACACCACTGTGGTGTGGGATATTGATTCGGGGAAGGGTGTCCAAGTGTGGGGAAAGGAAAGTGGTATATAAGAACTCTGTTTTCCACTCAATTTTGCTATGAACCTAAAACTGCTCTAAAAGATAAAGTTTATTAATTTTTTAAAAAAAGATTTGCCGCCTCATCCTGTGTTCAATTTTTTTTAAAAAAAATTATATGCGCAGAAAAGGGTTGGTAGAAATATTGCAGAGTTGATATCCAGATAACAAAGAATGTCTATAAGTCAATAAAGAAAAAAATTGTAAACCCTATTTAAAATTTAAAAGTAGGCAGTTCACAGAAAGCACACAAATAGGGAACTTCATTCCTAGGAAGATGGCAGGCTATGTTATTTGTATCAGCACTAAAAACTAAAAATGCTAGATTGTTTAAAATTTTCAAAGCACTGAAAAGCTGAGAATATAAGTCAGCAATCTAAGGAAAAGCCAGAACCTAGAGCAGTAAGGTGAGCATTTAAGCAGCTTTTGCACTGTAGGATAATACCAAGTCTTCAAGTGTACTAACATCCTTATATAAAAAAGAGCAGAGTGAATCAATCCAACTTCAATTTTAGAAAATTAAGTATGCATATTATAGATTTACTAAAACAATAAACAAAGTACATAAACTCCAAACAGTGGGAAAAGAATAGAAAAATAAAAATAATTGCTCTAAAACACCCAAGAATATATTAAAAATAAGTAGAGATGGGTCAAAGGAATCACAAAATGAAATGTTATACTTAAATACAAATAAGGTATATCTGTAATTACATTAAATGAACTAAAATGCTTCCACTGAAAGAGTGAAGTCAGACTACACTTTTTTAAAAATGCAAATATATGCTGCTTATAAGTGACATACCTCAAATTAGAGAAAATGTGAAAATAAAAGGACAGAGAAAATTTTCCTTGTAAATATTAAAAAAGAAAAATATAGTTACAGTAATATCAAAAAATAAATTTTCAGACAAAAAGCATTACTAGAGATTAAAAAAAGAGACAATGACAAAAGAATCAATTCATCTGGAAGCTCTTAATTTGTCTTGATGTACCTAATGACATAACCTTAAAATGTAAAAAGCAAACATTGACAGAACTACAAGGAGAAATAGAAAATACAAAATTATAATAGGAAAGTTTAACATGCTTTTTGTTTTTTTACCAATTGACAGAACAAGCAAACAAAAAGTAGGATATAGACATTTTAAATAAATTGCTGTACTTGACCAAATAATGCCATGTGTGAAAGTAGTGAGTACACACATGCCCTCACACAGAGTACCCATCAATAGCAGAATACATATTCTTGTAAGTGTTCATGCAATATTTATTTTAAAATGACGATCTATGGAGCCAAGAGGATTTCAAAAGGATTGTAATCATAGATAGTGTGTCCTTAGACCACAATGCAATTATGTTAGGAATCAATAATAAAAACTAATATCTCCCTCTCCCTCTCCGTCTCCCCACGGTCTCCCTCTCCCTCTCTTTCCACGGTCTCCCTCTGATGCCGAGCCGAAGCTGGACTGTACTGCTGCCATCTTGGCTCACTGCAACCTCCCTGCCTGATTCTCCTGCCTCAGCCTGCTGAGTGCCTGCGATTGCAGGCGCGCGCCGCCATGCCTGACTGCTTTTCGTGTTTTTTTGGTGGAGACGGGGTTTCGCTGTGTTGGCCGGGCTGGTCTCCAGCTCCTAACCGCGAGTGATCCGCCAGCCTCGGCCTCCCGAGGTGCCGGGATTGCAGACGGAGTCTCGTTCACTCAGTGCTCAATGTTGCCCAGGCTGGACTGCAATGACGTGATCTCGGCTAGCTACAACCTCCACCTCCCAGCCGCCTGCCTTGGCCTCCCAAAGTGCCGAGATTGCAGCCTCTGCCCGGCTGCCACCCCGTCTGGGAAGTGAGGAGCGTCTCTGCCTGGCCGCCCATCATCTGGGATGTGAGAAGCCCCTCTGCCCAGCTGCCCAGTCTGGGAAGTGAGAAGCGCCTCTTCCCGGCCGCCATCCCGTCTAGGAAGTGAGGAGCGTCTCTGCCCGGATGCCCATCGTCTGAGATGTGGGGAGCGCCTCTGCCCCACCGCCCCGTCTGGGATGTGAGGAGCACCTCTGCCCGGCCGCGACCCCATCTGGGAGGTGAGGAGCGTCTCTGCCCAGCCGCCCCGTCTGAGAAGTGAGGAGCCCCTCTGCCCGGCAGCCGCCCCGTCTGAGAAGTGAGGACCCCCTCCGCCCGGCAGCCGCCCCGTCCAGGAGGGAGGTGGGGGGCAGCCCCCGCCCGGCCAGCTGCCCCGTCCGGGAGGGAGGTGGGGGCCAGCCTCTGCCCGGCCGCCGCCCCGTCCGGGAGGTGGGGGGCGCCTCTGCCCGGCCGCCCTTTCTGGGAAGTGAGGAGCCCCTCTGCCCAGCCGCCACCCCGTCTGGGAGGTGTACCCAACAGCTCATTGAGAACGGGCCATGATGACGATGGCAGTTTTGTCGAATACAAAAGGGGGAAATGTGGGGAAAAGATAGAGAAATCAGATTGTTGCTGTGTCTGTGTAGAAAGAAGTAGACATAGGAGACTCCATTTTGTTCTGTACTAAGAAAAATTCTTCTGCCTTGGGATGCTGTTGATCTGTGACCTTACCCCCAACCCGGTGCTCTCTGAAACATGTGCTGTGTCCACTCGGTTAAATGGATTAAGGGTGGTGCAAGATGTGCTTTGTTAAACAGATGCTTGAAGGCAGCATACTCGTTAAGAGTCATCACCACTCCCTAATCTCAAGTACCCAATGACACAAACACTGCGGAAGGCCGCAGGGTCCTCTGCCTAGGAAAACCAGAGACCTTTGTTCACTTGTTTATCTGCTGACCTTCCCTCCACTATTGTCCTATGACCCTGCCAAATCCCCCTCTGGGAGAAACACCCAAGAATGATCAATAAAAACAAAAACAAAAACAAAAAAAACTAATATATATTTTCCCAAATTTTGAAATTAAGAAACATTCTTCTAAATAACTCATGAGTCCAAGAAGAAATAATAATCAATGAAGAGTTCCTTCTCAGTTTCTAGCATATGATGATTAGAAAAGAGTTCTTAAAAAAATAGTGAAAATGTCCTAGCTTTCTTTAAATAATAATAATGAGGGGCTGGGCATAATGGCTCACACCTGTAATCCCAACACTTTAAGAGGCTGAGATGGAAGGATTCCTTCAGCCCAGGAGTTTGAAACCAGCCTGGGTAACATAGGGAAATCCTATCTCTACCAAAAAAAAAAAAAAAAAAAATTACAAATTAGCTGGCTTTGGTGTCATACACCTGTGGTCCCAGCTACTTGGGAGGCTGAGGTGGGGGATTACTTAAGCCTGGGAAGTCAAGGCTGCAGTGAGCTGTGATTATGTCACTGCACTCCAGCCTGGGCAACAGAGTGAAAACCCTATCTGAGAGAGAGTGAGAGAGTGAGTGAGGGTGAGGGAGAGAGAGAGAGAGACATCTCAAGAAGTTAGAAAGAGAATGGTAGGCAGGGCATGGTGGCTCACACCTGTAATCCTAGCACTTTGGGAGGCTGAGGTGGGTGGGTTACTTGGAGTCAGGAGTTCAAGACCAGCCTGGCCAACATGGTGAAATCCCGTCTCTACCAAAAAACAAAAATTAGCAAGGCATAGTGGGGGTGCCTGTAATCCCAGCTGCTCAGAAGGCTGAGACAGGAGAATCACTTGATCCCAGGAGGCGGAGGTTGCAGTGAGCCGAGATTGCATCACTGCACTCCAGCCTGGATGACAGATGAGACTCTGTTTCAAAAAAAAAAAGAAAAGAAAGAATGGCAAAATAGCCTAAGAAAATAGAAGAAAAACAGATAAGAGCAAAAATTAACGAAATAGCTGGGCCTGATGGCTCACACCTGTAATCCCAGCAATTTGGGAGGCTGAGGCAGGCGGATCACTTGAGGCCAGGAGTTTGAGACCAGCCTGGCCAACATGGTGAAACCCTGTCTCTACTAAAAATATAAAAATTAGCCAAGCATGGTGGCATGCACCTGTAATCTCAGCCACTTGGGAGGCCAAGGCAGGAGAATCACTTGAACCCAAGAGGCAGAGGTTGCAATGAGCCAAAGTCATGCCACTGCACTCCAACCTGGGTGTCAGAGCGAGACTCTGTCAAAAAAAAAAAAAAAAAAAAAAAGGATCAACACAGCCAGAAGTCAGTTCTCTGTAAAAACTAATAAAATTGACCAATCTCTGGACTGAATCATTAAAATACAGAAAGAAGTCACAAACAATATCAGAAATGAATAAGAAGAAATATTAAATGCTATAGGGCCAGATGTGGTGACTCATGCCCATAAACCTAGCACATTAGGAAGCTGAGGGGCAAGGATCACTTGAGCCTGAGTTCAAGACCAACTTGGGCAACATAGTGAGACCCTGTCTCTACAAAAAATAAAAAGTAAAATATTAGCCAGGCTTGGTGGCAGGCACCTGTAGCTCCAGACACTTGGGAGCCCAAGGTGGGAGGATCACTTGAGCCCAGGTGGTCAAGGCTGCAGTGAGCTATAATGGTGCCTCTGCACTTCAGCATGGCTGGCAGAGTGACCCTTTCTCTTTGTCTCTATTTATTTATTTATTATTTAATTAAATGTATTTCATTTATTTCATTTATTACATATAATTTAAAATGCTACAGACATTAAAAATAAAATACTTTTAAAATTTAAATAAAACTGGCTGGGCACAGTAGCTCACGCCTGTAATCCCAGCACTTTGGGAGGCCGAGGCGGGAGGATCACGAGGTCAGGAGATCAAGACCATCCTGGCTAACATGGTGAAACCTCATCTCTACTAAAAATACAAAAAATTAGCCGGGCGTGGTGGCAGGTGCCTGTAGTCCTAGCTACTCGGGAGGCTGAGGCAGGAGAATGGCATGAACCCAGGAGGCGGAGCTTGTAGTGAGCAGAGATTGAGCCTGGGCGACAGAGCGAGACTCCGTCTCAAAAAAAAAAAAAAAAAAAAAAAATTAATGAAACTGAAAAATTCCTAGAAAACTTAAAATTTAACAAAACTGAACCAAGAAGATTTTTTTTTTTTTTTGAGATGGAGTTTTGCTCTTGTTGCCCAGGTTGGAGTGCAATGGTGTGATCTCGGCTTCCCAAAGTGCTGGGATTACAGGCGTGAGCCACCATGCCCGACCAGAAGGAATTCTTAAAACCTGAAAATCTGAAGAACTAAAAGAAAAAAAGAAGCAAAATGAAGAAAGCCTCAGAGACCTGTGTAGCACCATCAAGCATACCAATGTATGTATAATTGGAATTTCAGAACTCTATACTGCAGAAGACAACAGGGAGTGGCCAAGCACGGTGGCTCACATCTGTAATCCCAGCACTTTGAGAGGCCAAGGTAGGTGGATCACCTGAGGTCAGGAGTTCAAGACCAGCCTGGCTAACATGGCAAAACCCTGTCTCTACTAAAAATACAAAAATTAGCCAGGCATGGTGGCACACGCCCATAGTCCCAGCTACTTGGGAGATTGAGGTGGGAGAATCACTTGAACCCAAGAAGTGGAGGTTGCAGTGAGCCAAGATCATGCCACTGCACTCCAGCCTGGGTGACAGAGCAAGACTCTGTCTCAGGAAACAAACAAACAAACAAACAAAAAAAGACAGTGAGCAAACGGAATAAAAAGAGATCAACATTTAGGCACATAATATTCAAAAAGAGGAATTTTTGAAAGCAGCAAAAGAAAGATGACTTACCATATATAAGGGAACAACAATATGATCAACAGTTGATTTCTCATCAGAAACCATGGATGCCGTAAGGCAGGAAGATGACATATTCAAAGCTGAAAGGAAAAAAAAAAAACAACCTGTCAGTCAAGAATTCTATGTCCAGCAAAATTATTCTTCAAAAATGAAGCTAAAATAATGACATTATTAAACAAATGACTGACGGTATTTGTTGCTAGACAACCTACCTTGCAAGAAATTATTAAAGGAAGTCCTATTATCTAAAAAGAAATAGCAGTAGTGTTTTAGACCATTTTATGCTGCCATAACAGAATACCACAGATTGGGTAGTTTATAATTAACAGATATTTGGCTCACAGTTCTGGAGGCAGGGAAGTCCAAGAGCATGGTGCTGGCATCTGGCAAGGACCTTTGTGCTCCATCATCCCTTGGTGGAGGGCAAGACGGGTGAGAGCAAGAAGGGCCAAACCGACTTTTATAACAAACCCACTCTTGTGATAACCAACCAACTACTGAGACAAATATGTTAATCCACTCATGAGGGCAGAGCCCTCATGACCTAATCACCTCTTAGAGGTCCCACTTTTTAACATGGTTGCATTTGGGATTAAATTTTCAACACATGAAGCTTGTTGGATACATTCAAACCATAGCAGATGGTAACTCGAATTCACATGAATGAAAAACACCTATAAAGGCAATATATAGGTAAATATAAGACTACACATATATTTTTTATCTTGATTTAAAATACAACTGCAAGGAACAGTAACTATAAAACTTTACTGTGTGGTTACAATATATACAAATGTAATATATATGACAATAGCAAAAGGAGGGAAAGAAATGGAACTATATTAGAGCTATGTTTTTATATTTTACTGGAACTTACTGGAATATATTTTCCAGAATTAATATGAATCAGTACATTGTGATAAATTAAGACATATATTTTAACCCCTAGATAAATCACTAAGAAAATAACTCCAAAAAATAGTTAAAACAAAAAACTTATAATAGAACACTATAAAATATGTATTTTTAACACAAAAGAAAGCAGTAAAGGAGAAAGAAAGGAACAAGAAAAAAAAAGAAGAGACATAGAAAATAAAACCCAATTATCAAAACCAGTGAGTTCAGCAAGGTTGTAAGATACAAAATCAACATACAAAAATCAGCTGTTTCTCTGTATAACAATGAATAATCTGAAAATGAAGAAAATTACATTAATAAAAACATCATAAATATTTAAGGGCCGGGCACGGTGGCTCACGTCTGTAATCCCAGCACTTTGGGAGGCCGAGGCAGGCAGATCACAAGGTCAGGAGTTCGAGACCAGCCTGGCCAACATGGTGAAACCCTGTCTCTACTAAAGATACAAAAATTAGCCGGGCGTGGTGGTGTGTGTCTGTAATCCCAGCTACTCAGGAGGCTGAGGCAGGAGAATTGCTTGAACCTGGGAGGCGGAGGTTGCAGTGAGCCGAGATCACACCACTGCACTCCAGCCTGGGTGACACAGCAAGACTGTCTCAAAAAAATAAATAAAATATTTAGGAATAAATTTAACAGAGGTATTAGACCTGTACACTGAAAAATATAAACATGGCTGAAATTTTAAAGATCTAATTAGAGATCCCCAGTGTGTGGATTGGAAAACTAAGGATTGTTAAGATGGCAGTTCTTCCCAAATTGATCTATAAATTCAGCAAAATCCCTATCAAAAAAAGAACAGCTGGTTTTTTTGAAGAAATTGACAAGCTAATCCTAAAGTTTATATGGAAATACAAAAGATCCAACATAAGCACAACAGTTTTGAAAAAGAACAAAGTTAGAGGATTTACACTTCCCTATTTCAAAACTTAATGTGAAGCTACAATAATCAAGATTGTGATACTGGCATAAGTATAGTGATATAGATTAATGGAACAGAAATGAGGGTCTACAAATAAACTCTTACAGGTATTGTCAATTTATTGTTGATTAAAGAACACCAAGGCAATTCACTGAGGAAAGGATTGCCTTTCAAGAATGGTGCTGAGGTTGGACATAGTGGCTCACACCTGTAATCCCAGCACCTTGGGAGGCCAAGGCAGGAGGATTGCTTGAGGCCAGGAATTTGAGACCAGCCTGGGCAACATAGTAAGACCTCATCTCCACAAAAAGTAAAAATAAAATAAAAATAGTAATTAGACAATCGGATATTCACATACAGAATATGAATTTAAATCCTTACTTCATACCATATACAAAAATTAACTCAAAATAATCATAGACCTAAATGTAATAACTAAAATACTAAACTTTTCAAGGAAAACAGAAAATCTTCATGACCTTAGTTTAACCAGTTTTTAGATGACACCAAAAACAGGAAATTGAACTTAATAAAAATGTTAAGCTTTTGTGCTTCAAAAGACACCAATAAGAAAACAGACTGGGAGAAAATATTTGCAAATCTGATATAGGACTCACATCCAGAACATATAAATAACTACTTCAACTCAATAATAAAAAGACAAACTCCAATTAAAAAATAGATAAAAGATTTGAAGAAACATAGATGTCTATAAGCACATGAAAAAATGCTCGACATTAGTTATTAGGGAAATGCAATTAAAACCACAATGTGGTATCACTTCACACCCACTGAATAGCTATAATAAGATAGTCAATAATTAAGTATTGGTAAGGATGTGAAGAAACTGTAACACTCATCCATTACTGGTGGGAGTATAAAGTGATACATTTTACATTTTGGAGCATGATATCAATACACTAAAATTTTATTGTGGTGATGGTTATGTAGCTCTGTAAATACTTCAGTAAAGCTGTCAGAAAGAAAACTGTACTGCTAGACTAACTTCCACTTTATTGTACTGGAACACGTCAGACGATACCAGGAGGAAGCAATCAGATAAATAATGTGAGACATTCTGTAAGACAACTGGCTTCCAATGTTATGAAAAAACTGAATTATATTCCCACATACCAGAAATGACATTTCCAAAAAAGATATTTATAATGGCATCCAAATATATGATGTACCTAGGAATATATGTAACAAAAGATTTACAAGACCTTCTTGGTGATTAATAAAATTTTATTAAGACATTAAAAGGACTTAGCAATATATCATGTTCATGGATTGAAAGGCCCACTATGATATAAATTCTCCCAAAATAGCTTATAGATTCATCGCAACTCCAATCAAATTTTCAATGTGTTCGGCTTTTTTTAGTGAAACGTGATAAGCTATTTCTAAAATATATAAAGAAGAGCAGAGAACCAAGAAGAGCCACAAGCTGTTGATGAATAACAAGGATGTGAAAGGACTTTGATATTATATATCAAAAATTTTTTTGAAGATCATGAAGTAATGAAGAGAGTGTACATTAGCACAGGAAAAAAACCAATATAATAAAGAGCCCATAAAAGATCTTTGCATATATTGACAATATACAACAGAAAAGGCACTTCAAAGCAATAGGAAAAGGAAGGTTTTTTGTTTTTGTTTTTTTTCAATAAACAGTGCTGGCACAACAGACTAGCCCTATAGCAGCAAAAAAATTACCTCATACTATATGTTGAAGATTGTTCCAAGTGGGATGAAACCAAAATGTGAGAGGCAAAACTACAAAGCATGTAACAAGAGAATATTAACTATATTTTTAACATAACCATAAAAAAAACCGAGCTAACCATAAAGGAAAACTATTATTTGAAGATATTAAAATTAAAATGTTACTATATTTATAAACATTGTGAAAAGACAAACCACAAAGTGGGAAAAGATTCTGCAACACAACTCATAAAGGAGTAGTAGCCAGAATATATAAAGAACCACCTGCAAATTCATGAGAAAAATGGGAGAACTTTAACACACTTCATTCACCAAAGATGAAATCCAAATGGTCAAAAAATATATGAAATGTGATCAGCCTCATGAACACCTTTCATATTTTTTTTCCATATAAGGAAAATGGTCATTTAAACTACAATATGATACCATTATACATCTACCAGACTGGGGGGCTGGGGAAAAGCCAATACACCCTGGGAAGAATGTAAATCAGTATGAGAATCTTCGGGAAACAGTTGGCATGATCTAGGTTCCACTCTTATGTATATGTCCTTTTAAAGATGCAAACTCCAGAAGACATGTTCAAAATATCCATAGAAGCACTGTTTGAAATATCCCCAAAGTGGAAAAAATCCAAATTGTCCATCAAGAGTAAAATGAAAAAAGTATATGTAATGTAATACATTCATACAATGGAATAAACACACTATGGCTACATACAATGATAAGGATGAATCTCATAATGCTTAGCAAAAGAAACCAGTCTCAAAAGTGTACAGTATAATTTGATTCATATAAATTCCAAAAATAGAAACTAAATATGGTCTTTAGAGACATATACATGGGTGGTAAAACTATGAAGAAAAGCAAAGCAAAGAGTAGGGATGATGTTAAAGTGGACAGAGGGTTGTGTTAGGGAGGGACATATATGGAGCTTTTGAGGTACTGGAGATGTTCTATTTCTTGACCCGGTGGTCATATGGTATGCACATTATGATATGTTAAAAAATATATATGTATGTGTGTACATATCTGTTGTGGACATGCATACATATGTTTCATGTACTTTGTCCATATTCCACAATAAGAAAATATACAAATGACCAGTAAATATGAAAAGACATTCAATCTCACTAGTAATTAGAAAAATAAAATAACCATGATCAGCTATCATGATTTGCTGAAAATGTAAAAGACTGATAATATCCCTCTTTGCTGAGGTTGCAAAGAAATAGGCATTCTCATATGCTGTCAAAGGAAAGTAAATTAATAACTCTTTTTGAAGAACAATGTGGCAATATGTATAAAAACATAAAGCTTGTCTTAAAAGTTTTCAATTGCAATTCCAAATATCTATCCTAATGAAATTCACATGCACTAAAGATATGTGTACAAAGATGTCTGCCATTCACTACAGCATTGTTTGCAGTAGTGAAAAAAATGAATAAATATCAATAAGGGAAGATTTATGAAAAGTATTATAACCCATACAATGAAATACTATGCAGCCATTAAAAATAAAACTTTATAAACTGACATGGAAAGATATCCAAAACACATTAAGTGAACAAAAGCAAGACACAGAATAACACACACATAACATAATCCTGTTTCTAAAATATAAATATGTACATATATTTCTATAGAGTTATGAAAAACAGACTACATATTCATGCTGTAACCTGTTAGCAGTGATTACCTCTGGGCCAGGAAGTGGTGGAGGTAGAAGGAGGGTAAGCGGGACACTTTCCCATCTCACTCTAGATACATACATAGGATTCTTTTGTAATCACATATCCATGGACTACTTATATATTTCTAACAAGTGGTAGTAGCAAAACAACTGTATTATTATTTGTTCCACTCCCATGAGACCAATCTAATACATTTGAAAATAACTTGCTTTCAAAGCTAATTCTTTTGTTCCTGGAGGGCCTCCAGGGAGCCTACAGTTGCAGTCACAGGGCTGTCAGCCATCAATCGAGGAGCACTGTGCAGGATACTAAGTAACTTGGTCTGTCTCCAGGCTCGCCTCTTGAAAATATTTGCATACATTCTCATATCCCAGCTTACTGGCAGTAGCAATAATGTCTTCCCAGAGCACTTTGGTAAGGTAAATAAATTCTGATACTGCACATCAAATCACATCCATATCAAAGTGTAGATGTGGCTGTCAAGATCTATGTTTAGATCCAAATTAGTAATCACGCCCTTGATGAGTGACTTTTAGAACAGTTTGCATTTGGATTCCAAAGTAAGAACCTAGACCCCACTAAATCACCATATAGAGCTTTTCTTCTCTTTCTTCTTCCCTCCCTTCACTCTGCGCTAGCCCTTTCTAAAACTAATTTTTCTGTTTTCTATAAAGGTGGAAGAAAGGGCGAACCCGATCATGAGTTATTTGCAATCAGTAGTCAATCAGAACAAAAAGTATTATCAGTATATTTACAAAGAAAAATCCAACTACATGTATACATTTTGGTGTGCATTTTATTTTTGACTGGAATCATATCCATATGAAGGGAAATTGTGAAAGTATCCTTTACTCTTTTGAAAGCTTGGCCTTTGCCTTACTGTGTCAAAGGAAAGCAAAACTAAGCCAGTAATGATGGAGATGTCCCTGTTTCCATATGCACACTGACAGGCGAGGAGCTGCCTAGGAAATGCTTTTTGATTGATGAACAGAGGAGGGTCTACACACATTAAATACAAATGGAAACACATCAGCACACACAAGTCATTAGCCTGGTCCTCTGGCATCCACTGGCATGCATCTTTCCAAAGTATCACTTATTCAGTGGTAGCAGCACTATGTCTCGTTATGCCTTTTATCAGCAAATACCTTTTTATTCCAGAATGGAAAACAAACTAGGAATTAAATACATCCAATATTGATGCTTTATTTCCATAAGTCACCAATAAGAGAATGAATTTAATTTTAATACATTTATTTTTGTGTGATTCTTAATAAAACACTTTCAAAACATTCTGTACATTTCAAGCCACTCAGAACCGCATTACATTTCTACAAATGTGATTTGTTGGGATGAGGTGCCAAGATGTCTCTGTACAAAGATGTACAATATGTACAATCACTGTAAGTGCAAGCTGTGCAAAGCAGAGTCTAGAACACTAATTCATGCCAAGGCTTACAAAAACATTTCAACACATAAGACTAAAGCTTGAAACAGCGTTGTGGTTTTTTCCCTGGGCAAATGATTATTTTATAAACAAGTATATGTATATGTCATACAGAAAGAAGAGTTTGACTCCTCAGCTCAGTCAGTACCATGCAGCTGACTGGATACATTACAGGGCTGCTCTCCTAGGCCTCTTTCTTCAAGGCGCCATTTTGCCACACTCAACAGTTGTCTCATCACTGAGTGGCTGCCACTGCTGCCTTTGGCTGAACCACAGCAACACTAGGAGACTTAAATTTCGGGAGATAAAGGCCAAATTTGTTTTCGATGCCTGCAAACGTGGCTGTGGCGAGTCTGTATCCACCGATGTGATCAGGGTTGGCAGGAGGAAGGTCTGCAATGCGTGACTTAGGTGTTGGTTCTGAACCAGCGGGTTTGCTGTTGACAGAAAAAAAGCCAATGGTTAGCATGCTCAAGGTGGATGAGCGCAGCTTACAGCTGGACATTTTCGGTCTGACCCATGTGCCACAAAGAAGAATGTTTCTCTCAACCATTTCCATGGCATCTGTGCTGCATGACTAGAAACCACAGTCATGATTTATAGCTGCTTTGACAGCAACTTATCTACATATTTGATTTACAAGAGAAATGGCCTTATTTCCAATGCTTGCATACATATATAAACAAATCCATAGGAAAAAAGTCAGAAGAAAAGACACTCAAATATGAAGACTCTCTGGGTAGTAAGATTATGGATGATTTTTTTCTTTTTTCTTCTTGTAAAGATGGGGTCTTGCTATGTTGCCAAAGCTGGTTTCGAACTTCTGGTCTAAGGAATCCTTCTGCCTTGGCCTCCCAGAGCACTGGGAGGTGTGAGCCACCACACCCAGGCTGGTTTTTTTCTTTTATGCTTTATGGTTTTCCAAATTTTCTGCACTTAGCACATATGAAAGTAATTTTTAAAGTATATATTTTTCTTTTGACATAACTTTAGAAGTTAACTTTTTATGTAGTAGACTCATAAAGATTATCAATTAAATTATTTAAAGAGAGATAGGCCGGGCATGGTGGCTCACGCCTGTAATCCCAGAACTTTGGGAGGCCGAGGCAGGCGGATCATGAGGTCAGGAGATCAAGGCTATCCTGGCTAACACGGTGAGACCCCGTCTCTACTAAAAATATTAAAAAAAAAAAAAATTAGCCAGGCGCGGTGGTGGGCGCCCTTAGTCCCAGCTTCTCAGGAGGCTGAGGCAGGAGAATCACTTGAACCTGGGAGGTGGAGGTTGCAGTGAGCCGAGATCGTACCACTGCACTCCAGCCTGGGCGACAGAGCAAGACTCCGTCTAAAAAAAAAAAAAAAAAAAAAAGAGAGAGAGAGAAATAGCTTTAGTTCTTTTACAGAAGATGAAAGAAGCATGGAAAAGCCTGAAGCCTCACATTTCTACAATGCAACTGTAAGACTGCTGTTCTCACTTTTTTTGCATAGGTCCCTCCACTTGGTTCAGCAGCTGATTCCCTATATGGCCTTTGGGCACAGAGGAGTTCACAGGTTTCTGATGTGAGGACTCAGGAATGGTACTTGGTCTTCTGCTGAAAAGCTAATAATTGCTTGCTTTGGGTACAACTTCCCCACCCAGAAAATTCAACTTGTAATTCTTCTTCTCAGTGCAAGCTTCAAGTGGTAAGCTTTTAGAAGCCCAATTTCTGGCCTACAGCTCACTAGTGATTATATCCATGGGCAAAATCTCTCTTCAAACCTATTGGTTTTTCCAGTAAATTAGCTTCAAGAACATCTGCACCTAACTAATAATAAATTGTGGTGAATAATGAAATATCAGAGATGCAAAAGGGCTTGGGACTTTGAAAGAAAATGCACAAAAGTGTTACTGGTATACATTTACATTACTTCTGTGAAAGGGCCATATAATAAAATCCACATAATGAGAACGCCATGAAGTTCAGTATTTGCTTATGTGAAAAAAGACAATTATTTACACAGCATTTTAATCTGCTGCCTCCTGGCTAGGCACGGTAGCTCATGTCTGTAATCCCAGCACTTTGGGAGGCCAAGGCTGGTGGAGTTCGAGACCAGCCTGGGCAACACAGTGAGATCCCATCTCTATAAAAAAGTACAAAAATTAGCTGGGTGTGGTGGCATGCCTCTGTGGTCCCAGCTACTCAGGAGGCTGAGGTGGGAGGATCGCTTGAGCCCGGGAGGTTGAGGCTACGGTGAGCCAAGAACATGCCACTGCACTCCAGCCTGGGCAACAGAGGATATCCTGTCTTTTTTAAAAAAATTTGCTGCTTCCCTAAAATCCCCCAAATAGCTGCTTAATATTATGTACGATGTCACTCTGTCAAGTTTTACTTGCTTAACACAAATGCTTCTTAAGCTCACTGTTTTAAATGCATTGGTCTTAAAGGTTCTGTCTTATCAGTTTTCTAAGAGTTGCAACAATGCTTTTGTAGACAGAACAAACATTTGTTTTGGACTTAGTGATTTCTTTGTAAAGGAGTTGAGCAGCTGACTTACAGGCCTCCAAAATCAATGTAAAACCACCGCTGGAGAAGTTCATAAGTGACCAAGGTAACACCAAACTGGGGAGAGGATCGAAACACTCGAGCTGAAAAAGAGAAGCAGGGGCAGGGGAGACTTGAAACCAGGACAAATGTGGTAAAGATAGCCACTGAGTCACAGGGGAGGACGCTAGAGCCAGCCAGCCATTCTGTATGGCTCCAGCCCCTGCCTACCTGCAGTCCCTTTCCAAAATGCTGAGGGCCCTTCTTCCCGGAGAATCTTCCTGAAACAGTCGATGACACCACTGTATGTCGTCTGGCCAGCGCGGGCAGCCACCTGCAGTCTTGTCTTGATGACATCAGCAGGGGTCACCAGAGATGCAGCTGGGACACCTTTCAGGAGAAAACCACATTTAATTTATCTAGAGTACCTTATAAAAGATAGGAATACTGCTAACATCTACTATAGAGCCTGCAACTTCAACCACTTGAGCGGAACTCAAAACTCTTTACATAGATGTCTGGCCATTAATGGGAAAAGGGCATAGAAGCCTATTAGCTGTTGCAGTGTGATCAGGGGAAAATTATTATTATTTTTTCCTGAATTAAAAAAAAAATCACTCTACATTGCATGATCCCAAATAACTGTGAGAGAGAAAAAAAAAGTAGCAATATTAATAAGACAATTCCCAAGCGTTCCCTTTCAGTTTCAATTATTTTACCTCCTTTTTTTCTTAAATAAGATACAAGTATTTTTATGTATAAAAAAATGATAATGTCATCTTAGTGAGTCACTAAATGTATCTGACACCAAACTACTGTTTTTGCTGATTCTTGTCGTAGTGTGGGAAGTGAATATCAATACTTATAATCACTCGCTTGTTTGAAGGGCTACCTTGAGAGTTGACTGTGACTCCTTTCAGACATGCTTACATGACAAAAGTCATTACAACTGGAGCAAGAGGTGGCCAGGCAGCCAGTTAAGAAACAACAGGGGAGCTGGTCAGGGAAAGGCCCCTGTGCCCGAGCTCCCTGGGGTCATGTTGAGATTGATCAGCAGCAGGACACAAAAGATGGATTTCACAACCACACCTTTTACTTATAAAACAAAACAGAGAGCAAAGGAGCAAAATAATCTTCCCCGGGGGAAGAAATTCAATTTGGCCTGAATATCACTGTATCCTCACTAGGCGGATGGAGTTGGCAGCCTTGTACGAGGTTCTGCTAGGGAATAATGCAAATACTTCCCCTTGGCATGGCCTTGCACCCTATTCAGATGAAACTAGGTAAACTTCCTGCCTTTGGAGGCAGACTTCTGAATGTTCTCAGTTCCTGCTAGCAAAGCTTGACTGGTAAAAATTAGAAAAAATAATCTCATTCTGAAAACTGACATCAAATGTCTATGGGGAAGAAGTCGGTGCTGACAGTTCCATGGAAATATTTACTTGGTTCAACCACTTGCAAACACCTGTCCACAATTAGACTCTTCTTCTCTGGCTGTTTTTCATTGTTGATTGGAAAGCACAAGGAAAAGCCTGGAAGGCAAATGCTGCCCCCATTTAAAAGTAGGAGACTGGGCCAAGTGTGGTGGTTCACGCTTGTAATCCCAGCACTTTGGAAGGCCAAGATGGGAGGATCACCTGAGGTCAGGAGTTTGAGACCTCACATTTACAGCCTGACTCTCTTTTTTTTTTGAGACAGTCTCACTCTGTCGCCCAGGCTGGAGTGCAGTGGCACAATCTCGGCTCACTGCAAGCTCCGCCTCCCAGGTTCATGCCATTCTCCTGCCTCAGCCTCCCCAGTAGCTGGGACTACAGAAGCCCGCCACCACGCCCGGCTAATTTTTTGTATTTTTAGTAGAGACGGGGTTTCACCGTGTTAGCCAGGATGGTCTCGATCTCCTGACCTCGTGATCTGCCCGCCTTGGCCTCCCAAAGTGCTGGGATTACAGGAATGAGCCACCAAGCTCGGCCTCAGCCTGACTCTTGAGTTAGGAAGGAGCTGATTTGGAAAAGGAGGAGAGAACCAGGTGTCCTTGGCTGCACCAACACTCCGAAAAGACAAAGGAAGGAAGGGGTGCATGTTTGCTCTCTATACAACCAGTAATGAACCATTACAGAGCTCAGTGTGGCTCTGACCAGCTGTGCTGGCCAACATGGTGAAACCCTGTCTTTACTAAAAATACAAAAATTGGCCAGGCATGGTGGTACACGCCTGTAGTCCCAACTACTTGGGAGGCTGACACAGGAGAATCGCTTGAACCCGGGAGGCAGAGGTTGCAGTGAGCAGAGATTGTACCACTGCACTCCAGCCTGGGTGACAGAGCAAGATTCTGTCTCACCAAAAAAAAAAAAGTGGGAGACTGGTAAGTACCAGAAAGGGGCTGCTACAAACAGCTCACTGCCAAGACTGAGCAGGTAACTTTACTGGCTTTTAAACACAAAACTGACTAAAATTACCATTGCTAGAGGAGAAAGGACTTGCTGGGCCCCAAATAAGGGCGGTAAGTTCCCTGGGGCCGTTTCTTAATGATCAAAGTCATCCCTGTCTTCACGAGCAAGAACAACGTGGTCCATCGCAACACTCTCAGGCCCAAGGGCTCCTACCACACAACAAGCACAGCACACTCCGGGAGCTGCTCAGGTTGCCCTGATGTTTAGCCAGAGCCTCCAGAGGAGAATGAGCCCAGCAAGGAAGAGCAACACAGTGAACATAAGCCTGGCTGGTCAGAGCCACACTGAGCTCTGTAATGGTTCATTACTGGTTGTATAGAGAGCAAACATGCACCCCTTCCTTCCTTTGTCTTTTCAGAGTGTTGGTGCAGCCAAGGACACCTGGTTCTCTCCTTCTATTCCAAGTCAGCTCCTTCCTAACTCAAGAGTCAGGCTGTACCTATGAGGTCAGAAGGAAGCATCTTAGTACCTCCCTGCTCTTACAAGGCTCCTCTTTCAAATGAAATCTCTTCTGTGCCTAATTTGGTATCTTAGACGACATGAAGGTTTTCATTCATGTTATTGACATTTATTGAGCACCTATTACTATTACACTGGCCACGTAGGAAAGGCAAGGATGAAGAGAATGAAACTCTTGCCCTCAAGAAGCTATTAGCCTAGTACAGAGGATAACAATTATGCAAATAACTATTAATAAAAGACAAATTTTTTTTTTTTTGAGACAAGCTCTCACTCTGTCACCCAGGCTGGAGTACAGTGGTGTCATCTCGGCTCACCGCAGCCTTGACCTCCCAGGCTCAGGTGATCCTCCCACCTCAGCCTCCCGGGTAGCTGGCTGGGACTACAGGCACGCACCACTACACCTGGCTAATGACAAAGTGTTAACGATTAGAAAAAATACAAAAATTGAGTTCAAGGTGGTTTGCTGAGGGGTACTGCTTACTTTGGTCTAATGAGGGCAATGGTAGGAAGAAGAGGGACAGCTTCACGACAAAAGCTCAATTTTCGGCCAAATCATGTAGATTCCAATATACAGAAGAGAGAAAGTAAGAGCATGCTAGATCTGTGCATGAGCATGAGATACAGCTAAGCAACTGATTTGAGGAAAAACTTTCCCACCTTAATGCTTAGCTTGGCTGTACTCAAGGTTTCAGGGGCACAGGAAACTAAGAAACATGTTAATGATGAAAGCCCAATTTAGATGGGCAGATCTAATTTGGCTCTGAGTTGCTAAGCTGCATTAAGCTGTTTATCCACATTATGCAAATGTAATTAACTCTCATCAGAATTACAGCACATCCCACAAAGGAGAAAAAGTGATATTTAAACTAAGTCAGGTACAAACAATAATACTTCCAGAAATAAAGGGGGAAAGTACATAGAGATTCTGTACTTTTTAAATAATGGGAGAATTCTTTCAGTTAAAAAAAAATTTGTAGTTACCTGCCATGGCTCCAGCTGCAAGAAGATTTAAACCTCCCACGTGTCCATTTTCATCAGCCAGAAGTAGTTTGCAATGAGCATAAACAGGAAAATAGATTGCAGAGAAGGGAATGTCTCGGAGGAAACACGCTTTGGCACCCTGTCACACAGTGAGGAAATAGTGCAAAACAGTGTGAAACTGAGTGTGAATGCCCAAATGGGATCCATGTGACATTTGTCAGTGACAAGCTTGAGGTGTCCCTCAGTGACAAGCCTGAGGTGTCCCTTAAACAGCATTAGAACTGATGTGCAAGGGAAATGGGGGAGGCGGGAGATAAGTGGGGAATAGGGAAATCTGCATATCTCAAAGCTTGTGAAAGCATGGTGAATCCTGCAGTCCTAGAGTTAATAACTGGGTAATGATAGTATTCTGAAAACTAAGAACTTTCTGGCATTTCTTATATAGATTCAGAGTTTTTAAAATTAATTAATCTCTTACTATGGTAAAAACACACAAGATCTACCCTCTTAAGTTTTTACATCAGCTGAGAGTCCCCGCAGTGCCAGGTAAAAAGCTATAGGCAGTGGTGAAGGAAAAGTAACTACTCTAGAGCAGGGGGAAAAGAAACCCAAATCTTCTCTCCTCATTCCCCATGTCCTAAATAGCAGACAAAATATTTTAGCGGCAGGTTTCCACAGGAGTAGAAAATCATTACCCAGGGGCAGCTTGTCCCAATGACTGAGGTCTCAAAGAACACCTCCCTCAGCTTTGTCAGAAGCCCACACCATTCCACTACCTAGCTAGGCAAACACTCCACCTTGGCGCTTGTTTTTTTAATGACTCTGTTTTATTCTTTTTAATTTTTTTTTTTTTCTGAGACAGGGTCTCACTATGTTGCCCAGGCTGGAGCATAGTGGCAGGATCACAGCTTGCTGTAGCCTTGACCGTCTGAGCTCAAGTGATCCTCCCACCTCAGCCTCCTGAGTAGCTGGGATGATAGGTGTGCACCACTGTGCCGGCTAATTTTTTCTTTCTTTTTTTTTTTTAAGGTAGACACAAGGTCTTGCTATTTTGCCCTGGCTGGTCTTGAACTCCTGGGCTCAAGCAATCCCCCTGCCTTGGCCTCCCAAAGTGCTGAGAGTACAAGTGTGAGCCAGTGCTCCCAGCCCTGGCTTTTTTAAAAAAAGACAAACTCAAACATTGAAAAAAAAAAAATCCAAGGACTCGCTAAAGGATAATACAGAGAGAAGCAATATTAATAAATTCATCTCTCAAAGGGAATTCAAAAAGGATGGAAATTGGGAGTGGGGAGGAGGAAGCAAAAATGTGTACGAAACTCTCTTGAGACAGGCATCATTGTTTGCTGGTCTCCAGAGAACCCTGTAGCTGTGTGATTCCAATCTAGAGAATTTCTAATTTCTAATTTGCAGTTACCGAAACAAATTTACACATTTCTGCAGTGATGGATCTATATCAGATGCTGTGGAAACACACTTGGCTATGGTGGCTAAATTTACGTATTCCCCTTATACCAGGCAAAGGAATGGAAAGAAATATTCTTCCTTGTTTAAGAAAAATAATAGCTTCTGCTCCATTACATCTGATCTGTAATGATGGGAGTAAGTATACCCGCAGGGAAGGAATCTTTTGACTGGCATTTTGTTAAAGTACAGTACACTCTGTTGTTGGTTTGTTTTTTTTTTTTTTAATGGAATTCATTATTGACAAATCCTACCACTTAACTTCTTAAAGACCTGAATCCTACCAAACTCTACTACTGTTTTACTGTGGTCAAATTATTAAGACAAAAGCTCCCACTGGGAAGATAACAATAGAGATAATCAGACCGAAAATAAACATAAGACTATTTTGAAGCCCTAAACCAACCCAAAGAGAGCACCAGGGAAAGTTTTCCCAAGCCCCCCAGCAAATGAAAGGCTGTGAGCCTGAGGCCAGCAGGTCTGCGGTGCTGGCCTCCTTGCTGGCAGTTTCATAAAAGCCTGATGACAACAGGAGAGGCTGCATGTGTATCCCACTGCCTCTCATACAAGTGTCCTGATTCTTTTCTTTTTGTTTGATTTTCTGCTCCACAGACTACCCTGCTGGACAAGATTGCTTTTCAACTTGGAGGGAAGAAGTCTGGTTTCCACATTCTTTCATATTTTATTGAGTACATTATAACCTAAACCTACCCACCTTATACAGACCAAAAATTCCCAAGTCCCGGAGCACATTCAGGGCGCTGACTCTGGGTCCCGTGGTGATCTCTCCAGCTACTTGCAGACGAATCTTCACTATCTCCAATGGGTTGGTAAAAATGACCTGAGAGCCTCCAGCCTGTAGGCAAGGGAGAAGAGACAGGCAGATTCCACATCAGAGCCCGACTGGCAGCGTAAAAAAGGAAAATCCAGCAAAGCCTCCACATCTTGCTATCTTGAAAAGAAGGAGGTGAAACTTCCTTCCTCAGGGGGGAATGACAGTTTGACACTTAGGCCAACCCTGGAGAGGTTCAGAGGGATGGTCCCAAACTCTGTCTCAGATCAATCTACCTCTGGGTTTGTTTCTAGCTGAAATGTCAAGATTGTTTCTCAGACCAGTCTTTCCAGGATCACCCCAGCCATATTCAAAATAACAAAATAAACCCATTTGGAAAAAAAAGCGGAGCCAGATGTGGCAGCAAGGTACTCAATGAAAGAAAAAGAGATAGTAAAAGACTGTCATATTTTACAAGCCAGAGCTAAAATTCAGAGCTACAATTATTTTTTTCCTCTTTGTGGTAAGCGTTCTTGGCAGCAGACCCACTTGCTTCTGCTTCCTTGGATTGTAGAGCAATTAAAACTACTTTGGTGCCTTAAGTCAGAAGGGGAAAAGTCTCCTCCAGTTCCAATTCTAAAATGTATTATCCTAAGCAAAACTCTGATACAGGTACATGGCTACACCCACACAAAAGGGAAGAATTTAGAAAGATAAATTTCAGTATCATTTCAAGACAAAACCAGAAAAACTCTTCAAGGCAAAGCTGAGAAATGGAACATCTAGTTACCATGAGTACAACACCCTCAAGATCAAAGCCACATTCTATATTCCTGTGGTGAGTGACAGAGATTTGAATTTGGATAATGAGAGTATATTTGCATCTGAAATCTGTTAACTAGTAGAGAAAAAAAAAAAACGTTTAACAAAACTTCTACCAACTTCTTTTTTTTGGTTTCTGTAAGAAAGAAAAAAATGTGTGTGACTATGGATATATAAAAATAAATAAAATATATATCTCCTTTCATGAAATGAAAAATCCCATTTGTACATCTTCAACTGTAGCTGTTTATATTATGTAATCATAACCATACTCATATAATATTCATAATGATATTCATATCATTATAATCATTGTATATAATCACATGTGAAATATGAAATCTGGGGCACTGTAATTCCACAGGTATAGAACACCTAAAAATTCACATGCAGCTTTCAATGGCACTTCAGTGCTCAACCTTTGCCCACATTCCTGCTCACTTATCTAAAACCCAAAGCCCTCCCAGACCCGCTTCCAAGGGGCAGGAACATGGCTCAGCCCATTTTCCTAATTGCCTTGGGACTATAAATCCCCCAACTACCCCTATTCCAATCCTGACTCCTTAACTCCTTTCAATATTCAAAATTGCCAGCACTGATACTAAATTCCTTCCCTCTTCATGGACAGCTTATTGTCCTGGATTCCCCAGGGCCTTAATCCCCTCTTTGTCCTTCGAGCAGGGAGGTGCAGCAATTTGCTATCTCTCTCTCATGGTTTCCTCTAACTCCTCAACTCGACACAATCCAGACCACTGGCACACAGGTCCCCCAACGATGTACTGACCCAATTTTACATGTTGATTTGCCTGCCTTTCTCTCTCTTTGAATCTGTTGTACTGCAGGCAGAAGGAAGCACTTTAATGTTTCAATCTAAGCAAACAATACTTTCAAAAGGATTGCTGCATGAAAAATTATGTTAAAATGATAATCCAAGTAATTGCTCCTGTAGCTAGTATTAAAGACCAAATCAATTGAAAAAGTTTACTACTTCCCTGAAATCTCTTGTTTAAATAATGGTTGCAAAGACTATCTTAAATAATGGTTGCATATCTGCTTTATGTTTTAACTAAAGCAGATTTAAAAATGAATAGAACCACAAATTTTTATTCTAATTCCCCCAAATTTGCCACTACCAGACAGTGTCAGTCCCTGGGTGCCAAGTGTTAAATGTGGACATTATGTTTAAATAAATACTAAGGTCTTTCATGTTTGTAATCATTAGTAAATTATAACATCCTGCTGGGCAGGAGTACTCCAATCCGTGTCCCCCACCCCCACCCCACAGCTGCCTCCTCCTCTTCCTTCTCTCTTTTAGAAATAATTGATTGAGATTTATACTCCTTTAACAATGCTTCAAATTTTTTGAAGTATACAAGTAATAGGCTTTCTACTGAAACTTTACAAAAATGGTACAATAAAAAGAAATAACTGACTACATTTTGTTTGTGTTTGTTTGTTTGAGACAGGGCCTCACTCTGTCACCCAGGCTGGAGTGCAGTGGCAGGAACAGCTCACTGCAACCTCAACCTCCCCAGGTTCAGGTGATCCTCCCACCTCAGCTTCCCGAGTAGCTGGGACTACAAGCGTGCACCACCACGCCCAGCTAATTTTTGTATTTTTTGTAGAGATGGGGGTCTTACCATGTTGCCCAGGCTGATCTCGAACTGCTAGGCTCAAGCGATCCACTCGCCTTGGCCTTCCAAAATGCTAAGATTACAGGCGTGAGCCACTGCACCCAGCTGGGACTACATTTTAAAAATACATACACCTTAATTGTTGTATGCTTTGAAGATTAGTTACCTAGCACACATACCAAATCCCAACAACGCACAGGACATAACCACAAAACTCAATTGATGTGCATTTATAAACACATATAATCTAGCAAGTAAGAGTGCAAATAATCAATGACACTATAGCAAGGCACACATCTGTAAGTTTGTTTCATGCCTATGTTTGAAGGAGGAAAACTTCTGACAATTAATGATTTGTATATGTTTTAAAAATTAACATACAAGCCAAGTGCAATGACACATGCCTGTAGTCCCAGCTGCTCACAAGACTGAGGCAGGAGGATTACTTGAGCCCAGGAGTTCAAGGCCAGCCTGGGCAATGGAGCAAGACCCCTATCTCTTAAAATTTTTTTTTTTTTAGTAATTAGTATACATTTTTAAAACCTCATGATAGGCCTAGGAACATAAGGCAAATACTTTCCAGAAACGCTGAATAATTTTAGCAAAGATAAAGACTGCAAAAACCGCAGTTACTTTTGTACCAACGTAATAATTTGTCTAAAACTCTGGATGTTTATAATGCTTAAAGGGAAACACACATGGCAAATATGCACTGTTCTTTTTCGGATTCTGAGGTTGACCACTCTCTCTATCCTACATATTAAACTGGGGATAGGGAAGGGGGAGTAAAATCTGAGATTAGTTCAATTATACTGGTAATAAATCAAGCAACTCAGAATGAGGGACTATGATGTTATCAAACTCTTGAACTGGGTGTTTCCTCTCTGCGAAACAAATACAGAGAAATACCATATTTCTTCTAAGACTCTATTGATTATAAATGATATCATTAATAACAGCTTTCCAAAGGGGAAAAGCACTGCTTGCAGTAAATATAATCTTTAATATAGAGAATTTCATAAATACAGTAACTTTTCAATAAAAAATAGTACCTGTATTTCTACAAATATGCTAATGTTTGCTATTTTTAATAGCAGCAAAATTGAACAGGAAGAAATTCAAATTCCCAATAAAACAGCTAAGTAGATACAATTCTATGCTATTAATTGGGCAATATGATTTGATAATAAAATCACGCCAAATGACAAAAACAGAACATAAAATATTAGGCACACATTTGATCATAAATATGTCAAAATTTACCTAAGTTTCTCAAAACCCAAGTGGCTTAAAGATTAAAACATTGATTGCCTCCTGGAAAGAGAAACTGAATAGCTGGGAGAAATAATTTTCATAGCATACTCTATTGTACCTTTTAAATTTCAAAACATATGAATGTATTAACTACGCAACAACAACAAGAAACAGACCTGGTCTTAGAAACAATGGCTTCTTTATAGACTAAGTCTTCTCTCGCATATTCTTCTTCATGGTAAATTTGGTAATTTGGCAAATATATTTTTTAAACTGGTTGGCGTTAGTTACTGTGGACCCAAGGTTTTTTAAAAAGCTTATTATATATGAACATCAAAAAACCTAATCAAATATAGCTAGTGACCTGAAATAATCGACACTAAGATATATAAAATTTTAAATTAAATCACAATGATACACAGCTATATAAATGTAAATGGACATTGCTAAATTTGGCATCTTGCTGCTTCTGTTACTAATGCTTACATTAGATAACATACCACTCTATATCATACCTTTGCTGAATTTTTTTCACTCATGAAATCACCAAAATTAGCTTCTAATTCTCTAATTGCTTAAATTTCCCGCCTATTTTTTAAAAGAGATACAAACATTAATACTAAAACAGACTTAGATGCTTTCTATTTTTCAGTATTCTGTTGTCATTTCTTTGTTCTAGAACTGAGTTTAAAAGATACATAAAAGAGAACAAATCTCATTTTGAATGAGGGTTACCCATATATAACAGAAATGGAAAGAATAAAAAACTTCCATTTAATCTTATATCATATGAATTTTTTAATGAGAAAATCAACTAAAGCTGACAGCAAAAGTTAGCGGGGAAAAGGATGTAATTTTGAGATGTCACCATGCCTCCACAGTGCCAAAGGCCGAGGGGCTGTATACAGGATTAGGCCTATTCAACCTTCTGCCCTCTCAATCCTACCCCTGGGGCAAGGTTCACAAAGAGGTTGGAGGCTGGGCCCTGCTTGTGCCAAGTCCTTTGTTTATTTCCTTCTTTGATCTGTTGTCTCCTATAGATTGAAATGATTTCCCTCCAACCACAAAATATCCAATCTAAGCAACTCATTATAAAGTCTTCCCTTATCGAGACTGATGAAAATCTAACTTCAATTTATTTAAGGTCACATCAACTCCAGATGAACACAGTATGTGCGTATAAAATAACCAGATAAACAGTAAAAGTCACAGAACTAGCTGTCACTAGGACTGACTCAAGAGGAACAGGAACAGACAGTGACTCAGCCTTGCACACCACCAACCGTTCATATTTTTGTAAAGCAATAGGAAATGCTATGGTTCTTTCTAAAATAGGATAGTGATAGTTTAAAAGAAATAAATGCAATGTGCTCATTGCTGAGTGATGATATATGCGAGGGTGTTACAAATTAACACTACATATACTCCTAACTAGGGTAAGGGAAGTGCTATGATCCGAATATTGGTGTTTCCCCACAATGCATATGTTGGAACTAATATCCAACATTATAGTATTAAGAAGTAGGGCCTTTTGGGAGGTGATTAAGTCATGATGGTTCTGCCCTAGTGAATGGGATTAGTGCCCTTATAAATGAGGTTGAAGGGAGCTGCCTTGTCTCTCCTACCATGCAAGCACACAGCAGCAAGGTACATGCAAGCACACAGCAGCAAGGTACATGCAAGCACACAGCAGCAAGGTGCCATCTTGGAAGCAGAGAGCAAGCCCTCCCTCACCAGACACTGAATCTGCTGGTACCTTGATCTTGAACTTCCAGCCTCCAGAATTGTGAGCAATAAATTTCTGTTGTTTATAAATTACTCCATCGAAGGTATTTTTTAATAGCAGCCAAAATGAACTAAGACAGCAAGAATGAAAATCCCTGTGTACCTATCATAAGCCACTTTTGACATAAATATATAAGGATTTTCAACTTGTATGCATATCTATATGTGTTCACATAAGTATGTAGGCATAAAGTTGGACTACACTAATTCCTGGGGATGAGAGGTGGAAGAGCTGTTTCCAAACTACTCTTTAGAGATATACAAGCTTGGCTTGCTGAGGAAGACATAGAATTCTTCATCATAAGGAGCTGGCTAGTTACAGATCTTGGCCCCCAGGATTAGTAAATGCTCCGCCTAACATGTGGGCTTTTTGCTTTACCGATATGAAGGGAGGGTGTGTGTATGTGGTGTGTGTAGACACATGCTTAAGCTGAGAAAAAGCATGGGAGAGTTGAAAGATTCTAGGTTTGGAAGACTACTGACCTAGATCGTCATAGATTTTGCATTCGGCATAACCATTCCATTCCCACAACCATGCTCTCTGCCTCACCGAGGTCTTGTGCACTACTAACTCATTTGAGAGCACTATGCAGACTGAAAGCAAGACACAAAGGGAAAGAACGTGTTCTCCAGAAAGTGTGTTCGCATAGGGTTGTGAAAATTCACCTGCAACATTAGCACTTTGCTGAGTAATAAGTTTTGAGTTTCATGACTTCCATCCACTCAGGAGTATATACTCTCTGAAAGAGGTAATGCAGTCAGCTAGGTAAGTTTATCACTAATCTCTGATTCGAGTTTAACAATTAAAAAAGAACAGGTACTTACCAAAGAGACCATTAGAAAGTACCTAAAGGTTAGTCCATTTAGATTTTTTAATATTCTGCTTTGTTAATTTGAAAAGATATTTAAATTTATTCTCCCTTAAGTTTCTGGATCTATCCAAAAAACTACATAATTACTTTTTCTTTAAAAACTACTATAAACATCATTAATAAAAGTAATAAACAAGTCACAAACTGGCAAAAAAATATCCACAACACATCTGTTTGACAAAGGGCTGTATCCATGATGTATAAACAACTTTTACAATTAGTAAAAAATATGAAACCTAATAAAATGTACGCAAAAGACTTGAACAGATACTTCACACACACACACACACACACACACATATACGAATAGCCAATAAACACATGAAAAGATAATCAACATCTTTAGGAATCAGAAGAATGCAAATTTAAACCACAATAAGATACTATTTCACATACCTACAATGATTACTATCAAAAACACTACAGATATCAAACATTAGTGAAGATGTGGAACAACTGGAATACTTGTACACTGCTTAGGAGACTATAAAATGATCCATCCACTTCTAAGAACTAACTGGCAGTTTATTTTAAATTGAATATACATCGACTCTATTCTATTCTTAGATACCCAAGAAAAATGAAAATATTGGTTGACAAAAAGATTTGTACAAGAATGTTTACAGCAACCTTATTTGTAACAGACAAAAACCCAAACATCCATCAAGAGAAAAATGGATAAACAAATTGTGGTAAATTCGTACGATGAAATACTACTCAGCAAAATTTAAAACAAACACAAACCTGATACCCACACAAGGATGACTCTCTGAAAACATGTTAAACAAAAGAAGCCAGCCATGAAAGAATGCATCTCGTGCACTCCATTTACATGAAATCCAAGAACAACAAAACTTCAGACAGAAATCAGAAGTGTGGTTGCATGGGGTAAGGGAGAAGGGACTGAATGGAAAGACGCATGAACGACTTTTCTGGGGTGAAATGTTCATTATCTTAGGTGGTGATTACATGGGTGTATACAACTGTCAAAACTCATTGAGCTGAATATCTAAAATCTGTTCCTTTTAAAAATGTTAATTATACCTAAAAAACCAAATATGTAAATATGTCATATTCATACACTTATTAAAGGAAGGAAGGAAAGAGGCAAGAAAGTCACTATAAAGTTGAATAGTGTCATCTAGATTTATTTTGACACAATCAATGATTTGATTCCCCCAAAAGGACATCATAGAATAAAAGGACTTGGTCTAAAAAAATCAGAATACTTGGGTTCACATGAAACCTCCAGCATATATTAGCTGTGTAAATTGGGGTAAGAGAGTTAGCCTTTTTGGACTTCTGTTTCTCATCTACCTATTTTATAGAGGGTGACAATAATGCATAATAATGTACTTTGAAAATTCTAGGTTGACATTAAGGTACTATTTTTGCCCACAATAGATATCATAATCAAACATTCAATTATATTTGTGTCTTCGAATAAACATACATTTGTACATATAAATATTATATATAAACACATATATACAGGTGGTCCCCAACTTAACAATGATACAACTTATGGTTTTTTGACTTTACAATGGTGCAAAAGCAATATGCATTCAGTAGAAACAATACTTCAAGTACTCATACAGCCTGTTTTTCACTTTCAGTACAGTATTCAATAAATTACATGAGATATCCAATACTGTATTATAAAACAGGCTTTGTGTTTTATGATTTTGCCCAATTATAGGCTAACATAAGTGTTCTGAGCATGTTTTAGGTAGGATAGGCTAAGCTATGACATTCAGAAGGTTAGGTGTATTAAGTGCACTGTTGACCTAAAAATTTCCAACTCATGATAGGTTTATTACAATGTAACCTCATTGGAAGTCGAGGAATATCTGGATCTGTGTGTGTGTGTGTGTGTGTGTGTGTGTGTGTGTGTGTGTGTACAGAAAGACAGAAATTTTCTAATAGAAAAATAAACATATGGTCTGATAAGAATGGTTTACCTATGAGAATAACAGGAAAAATTATTTAAAACCTACTGTTACATATTTAATACTCATACAACACTCAACATTCATAAGAGATATTTACTGAGCAACTGTATACACACACATACAATCTTACCCCATCTCCACCTAAAAAAGGGTCAAGCAATTTTAAAAAATTATTATTATTTGTAGAGATGGGGGGTCCCACTATGTTGCACAAGCTGGCCTTGAACTCCTAGGCTCAAGCCATCTTCCCACCTCAGCCTTCCAAAGTGTGGAGGTTACAGTCATGAGCCACCACACCTAGCCAAGGTCAGGCAATTTAACCTAGAGTTCAATTTATAGATACTACAAACAAATAAACAAAAAACATGTTGGGATAGCACATCCAAGTTATCATAAATTCTGAATGAGTAAGTTTGTTTGAGAAGATTTTGATATAGATACAAAACACAAGTTTGGTTAATGTTCACAATGAGATTTAAAAATCTGAAAATGGGCCAGGCACTGTGGCTCACACCTGTAATCCCAGCACTTTGGGAGGCTGAAGTGGGTGGATCACGAGGTCAGAAGATCGAGACCATCCTGGCTAACACGGTGAAACCCCGTCTCTACTAAAAATACAAAAAATTAGCCAGGCCTGGTGGCGGGTGCCTGTAGTCCCAACTACTCGGGAGGCTGAGGCAGGAGAATGGCGTGAACCCGGGAAGCGGAGCTTGCAGTGAGCCAAGATCACGCTACTGCACTCCAGCCTGGGCGACAGTGCGAGACTCTGTCTCGAAAAAATAAAAATAAAAATAAAAATCTGAAAATGCACAATCTGTTTATACTACTATTCCCAAAGGTTATATACTACTTCTAAAATAAGACATTCCACTGTGACTCCCTCTTTCCTGTAGTAAGTGAGAGTTGCTTGCATTTCCAATCAGGAAGTCAGAGTCAACAAAACTTCCATCTGGTTTTAAAAAGTGTGTGTGTGTGTGTGTGTACACATGTGCACACATATGTCTATGCATAAGAGCATGTACACATGTATATGAAAACATTAGAAGGAAATACACCAAAACATTAGCAATCAAAACTAAAACAAAACTGACATTTAGTAATATCTCTCTCTGTTCAAGGCAAAAAAAAAAAACCTAAAAAACTTAGGCTTAAAAATCGGAAAAGACCTAGATGTAAAAGCTAAAACTATAAAACTCTGAAAAGAAAAAAGGAGGCATACATATAAAGTCAATTTCTATATACCAGAAAAAAAAGGCATACATCTTTCATGATCTTGGATTAATGACTTCTTAGATATAACACCAAAAGCACAAACAACAAAAGAAAAAATAGATTAAACGAACTTCATTAAAGCCCAATTCTTCAAAAGACATCATCAAGAAAATAAAAAATATCTGAAAAGGGACTCATATCTAGAATATACAAAGAACTCTGTAACCAAAAAACAATCCAATTTAAAAATAGGCAAAAATTCTGAATAGACATTTTTTCAAAGAAGATATACAAGTGGTCAATATGCACACAAAAAGATGCTCAACATTGTCAGTCATTAGGCCACAATAAGGTATCACTTTTCACTCAGTAAGATGGCTATAGTAAAAAGACAATAAGAAGTGTTATCAAAGATGTGGAAAGTAGCTGTGCATGATGGCACATGCCTGTAGTCCCAGCTACTCAGGAGGATGGGGCAGGAAGATCACTTGAGGCCAGGAGTTCGAGGCTGTAGCATGTGATGTTCACACCTGTGAACAGTCACTGCACTCTCAGCTTGGGCAACATAGTGAGACGCTACCATTATTTAAAAAAATACACACACACACACACACACACGCGCGCACACACATACTAGCAAAGATGTAGAGAAATCAGAAGCTTCACACTACTAGTAGGGATGCAAAAGGATGTAGCCACTTTGAAAAACAGTCTGGCAGTCCTGAAAATGCTAATTACAGTTGTCATATGACACACCAATTCCACTCATACGTATATACCCAAGAGAAATGAAAACATGTCCATGCAAAACCTTATATACCAATATTCATAGCAGCATTATTCATAAGTCAAAAGGTAGAAACAACTCAAATGTTTATCAACTAATGAATGAACAAACTGTAGTATATCCATATATTCAGCAATAAAAATGAATTAAGTACTGATACATGCTACAACACAGATGAACCTTGAAAACACGCTAAGTGAAAAAAGTTAGGCACAATGTCATGCTTACAAAAGGCCACATATCATGATTCCTTATTTATTTATTTATTTATTTTGAGACAGAGTCTCTCTCTGTTGCCCAGGCTGGAGTGCAGTGGGCACAATCTCTGCTCATTGCAACCTCCGCCTCCCAGGCTCAAGTGATTCTCCTGCCTCAGCCTCCCAAGTAGCCAGGATTAAAAGCACCTGCCACCACGCCTGGCTAATTTTTGCATTTTTTATAAAGATGGGGTTTCACACCATGTTGGCCAGGCTGGTCTCAAACTCCTGACCTCAAGTGATCCACACACCTCAGCCTCCCAAAGTGCTGGAATTATAAGCATGAGCCACCACGCCCAGCCTCCATTTATATAAAATATTCAGAATTGGTGAATTTGTAAAAACAGAAAGTATATTAATAGTTGCCTAGAGGCCAAGTGCAGTGGCTCGTATCTGTAACTCTAGTACTTTGGGAGGAGGAGGCAGAAGGATTGCTTGAGGCCAGGAGCTCAAGGCCAGCCTGGCCAAGTAAGACCCTGTCTCTATGAAAAACTTAAAAATTAGCTGAGGGTGGTGGCACACACCTGCAGTCCTAGCTACTCATGAAGCTGAGGTGGGAGGATTGCCTGAGCCGGCAGTTCAAGGTTGCTGTGAGCCTTGATCGCACCACTGCACTCCTGCCTGGGCAATACAGTTGCCTAGATCTTACGGATGGGATGGGAAGATTGAGAAGTGATAGCTAAAAGGTACTGCATTTCTTTCTGTGTTGATAAAAATGTTCTAAAATTGATTGTGGTGATGGTTTCACAACAAAACACTGAATTATACACATTAAATGGGGGAGTTGTATGGTACGTTAAGTATATCTCAATAAAGCTGTTATTTTTTCTGTTTTTTTGTTTTGTTTTGTTTTTTGTTTTTTTTTTTTGAGACAGAGTCTCACTCTGTTGCCCAAGCTGGAGTGCAGTGGCACGATCACAGCTCACTGCAACCTCCACCTCCTGGGTTCAAGCGATTCTCCTACCTCAGCCTCCCAAGTAGCTGGGACTGTAGGAACGCGCCACTTCACCTGGCTAATTTTTTTGTATTTTCAGTAGAGACGGGGTTTCACTATGTTGGCCAGGCTGGTCTCGAACTCCTGACCTCAGGTGATCCACTTGCTTCGGCCTCCCAAAGTACTGGGATTACAGGCGTGAGCCACCGCCCCCGGCCTAAAGGTGGTATTTTTAAAATTTGCATGAAAGATATCAGGTATTCAATGAGTAAGTGAATATATGAAAGAACAAATGAAAACCTATATCAAGTGTGAAAGAATATGGATTTGGAGATAGAAGTGGTTTGAACCACAATTTTGATATTTACTAAGTCAAAATTTGGATTTCACTAAGGTTTTAGTTTTTTCAACTCTAGTTGGGAACAATAATGAGATAATCCCTATAAAATGTTCAGCCCAGTAAGAAAGGTATCTATTCCTCATTAGCTGATTCAAGCTACATCAAAAGCAATAATCATCATCAACAATAGTAGTAACGTTTTAGTTAAGTTGGGTGCTAGAAGCATGGATGCTCATTTTATTATTCTGTAATTATATTGTTTGTATTCTTTTGCATGTATCAAAAATCACAGGCCTTGGCCAGCCTGGTGACTCACACCTGTAATCCCAAAACTAGGAGGCCAAGGCAGGTGGGTTGCTTGAGCCCAGGAATTCGAGACCAGCCTGGGCAACATGATGAAACCCCATCTCTACAAAAAATACAAAAATTAGCAGAGGATGGTGGCATGCACCTGTAGTCCCAGCTACTGGGGAGGCTGAGAGATGGGAGGAGCCCTTGAGCCCAGGAGTTGTCAAGGCTGCAGTGAGCTGAGATCGCACCACGCCACTCCAGCCTGGGCAACAGACTGAGATCCTGTCTCAAAAAAGAAGAAAAACAAACAAACAAAAAAACAAAAATCACATGCCTTTAAAAACAGATCATAAAGACCGGGTGTGGTGGCTCACGCCCGTAATCCCAGCACTTTGGGAGGCCGAGGCCGGTGGATCACCTGAGGTCGGGAGTTTGAGACCAGCCTAACATGGAGAAACCCCAGCTCTACTAAAAATACAAAATTAGCCGGGTGCAGTGGCACATGCCTGTAATCTCAGCTACTAGGGAGGCTGAGGCAGGAGAATCGCATTAACCTGGGAGGTGGAGGCTGCGGTGGGCCGAGATCGTGCCATTGCATTCCAGCCTGGATAACAAGAGCAAAACTCCATCTCAAAACAAAAACGAAAACAAAAACAAACCAGATAATAAAACAAAACATACAACAACAACAAAATATATAATGCCCAAGGACTAGAGATTTTCACTTCTAGGTCACTTCATGATCTAGTCAACACACACCATTTTTCCTAAAAGGGAATATTGTCATTTCCATGGCAATAAAATTTCCCTCTCATCTATAGGGAACTCAAGGCCTAGGTCCTAGCTAATCCTTCCTCTGGGAAAAAAAGCCTAGAACTCAATTTGAGCCATTTCTTCCTAATTAACCTGCAATAGGTTAATGTATTAGGTGCATCTTTAAAATTGGGTAATTTTTGGAAGAACAGCAGCATTCTTCTCACTAGTGGCACTGACAGCACTCAGCCAAAAGCCATAAGGACACCGTACATCGTATCACCACCACTACTCAGGATGATGAAGACTCAGGGTCAGGCTCACAGACAGCCACTCTTCACAGTGTTAATCTGGTGGCTGTTTGCCAGGTATCATTTAGGAAATGGAGTATCCTATGTCCCATACAGCCTGATATTCTATAAAGAGAGACTCATTCTTTTTAAGACTTTATTCTCTGTTGAAATTTATAGACTTTGGGGAGAAACAGTGAATTATGTTTTAACAATCATTTATAGCATAGCATAACTGAATTTGTCAGTAGAAACTCAATAATTGCACTTTTTTCTTCTTCCCTGAAAGAAGAGATTTAGAGCAAGGGGGAAGCAGAAAACGTTTGTGGTGAAGAACTGCAGACAACCTTATCATTCTGCCTAGAGTCCAACCTGACTATTTTTCATGCTGTCAATTTCCCACTAGACAATCCATCAAAGCCTCCAGAAATGAGTCATGATTAAGGAAGAGATTTAGAGTGTCAGCACAACCCTCAAGGCAACCCAGACTTCAATAGAAATTCCTAAAGTTCAAACCTATAAACAGGGTCGGTAGCTAGGAAGAACAAAGGAACTAAACATCTTATTTTGGTTTAACCACTTAGGTCACATGTCAGACATGGAAACAGGTCAGCTTCATGACCAAAAACCTGGATATTGCAAACGGAAACAAATAATTAGCTACATGGAACAGAAAGAGCATGACTTATATTTCTGGCAAAGGTATGCATGTGCTGTGATAAAAATGAGTTAGAAAGCTTCTTAACCAAACAGAAACTTAAAATGACCAAGAAAAAGAATATTTATGATTGGCAAAGGTTCGCTCTCTAGATAAGAACCAATTACAGAATCTAATTGGAATAAAGGAAGAAGAGAAACTTCATTTTTGGTGATCCACCTAAGCAAAAGTTTTATTCTATGTCCACTGTTAACTCTTCATTAAAAAAGAAATGTAGCCAAAGAGATTTCCTTCCTGAGAATGTGCTGGGGCATGCATACAGGCACACACACACCCACACAGCAGTCCACCTCTTCCAAAGCAACTCTGCAGAGGACTCAGGTATGTGCCACACTGACACATATCAAAGAGAATCTGGAGCAACCTCTCTCTCTCTCTGACCCCCGAGGCAGTG
The DNA here is from genome assembly GCF_000001405.40 of Homo sapiens. Classification (NCBI taxonomy): domain Eukaryota; kingdom Metazoa; phylum Chordata; class Mammalia; order Primates; family Hominidae; genus Homo; species Homo sapiens. Next base: position 238,152 of record NW_025791761.1, read on the forward strand.
TCTCTGAATTAAATGTTGCCAAGGTCACTGACCTCATCACTTCAGGTTTCACAAGCAACTGAGGAAGTTTTAGCCAAGACTGTCAGCCAATTCAACTGGAAGTTATTAATGTTTCCAAGAACAAAATGGACTAAACAAGTCTGAAACGAACCATGTGTTATCAAATATGAAACAAATACCACAAATGAAATTAGTTGAGCTGCAAATAGATTTAAGAATTGGTCATGCTTACACTTTAAAGACAGAAACCTTTGTGCGCTAAGTAAATATCTGAGTCTCTTGGTTCAGAATTTCTGTCAATAGCTGAAATGTAGTTACCGTTATTATTGTTTGCCAATAATCATGTCATGCTTACACTTTAAAGACAGAAACCTTTGTGCGCTAAGTAAATATCTGAGTCTCTTGGTTCAGAATTTCTGTCAATAGCTGAAATGTAGTTACCGTTATTATTGTTTGCCATACCCTCTGGCCTCTAAAGAAGAAAAATTATTATTAAACAATGGCTTACTCAGTCCTATACCTAAGATATAAGGGCCCAATTAATCAGCCATCTCACACTTGTTTTAAAGTTCCAGTTAACATATATGAATGGTAACTCTATCCACTACTATATTTTCTGTACTCTATTTCTTAAAAGGCATAGGAATTAGAACTTTTAAAAAAGTCTGGAAGGTAATGCTTTAGGAGCATCAAAGAGATAGAGCTGATGAAAATGCCACCTCTTTTTTTGTTATTATACTTTAAGTTTTAGGGTACATGTGCACAATGTGCAGGTTTGATACATAGGTATACATGTGCCATGTTGGTTTGCTGCACCCATCAACTCATCATTTACATTAGGTATTTCTCCTACTGCTATCTCTCCCCCAACCCCCAACCCCCAACCCCATGACAGGCCCCAGTGTGTGATGCTCCCTGCCCTGTGTCCAGGTGTTCTCATTGTTCAATTCCCACCTATGAGTGAGAACATGTGGTGTTTGGTTTTCTGTCCTTGTGACAGTTTGCTGAGAATGATGGTTTGCAGCTTCATCCATGTCCCTGCAAAGGACAGGAACTCATCCTTTTTTATGGCTGCATATTATTCCATGGTGTATATGTGCCAAATTTTCTTAATCCAGTCTGTCACTGATGGGCATTTGGGTTGGTTCCAAGTCTTTGCTATTGTGAATAGTGCCACAATAAACATATGTGTGCATGTGTCTTTATAGTAGAATGATTTATAATCCTTTGGGTATATACTCAGTAATGGGATTGCTGGGTCAAATGGTATTTCTAGTTCTAGATCCTTGAGGAATTGCCACACTGTCTTCCACAATGGTTGAACTAATTCACACTCCCACCAACAGTGTAAAATGGTTCCTATTTCTCCACATCCTCTCCAGCATCTGTTGTTTCCTGACTTTTTAATGATCACCATTCTAACTGGCGGAAAATGCTACCTCTTTTCTACACTCAAAACCCGTTAGCTTTTACAATAAAATTTAAAACTTATTCCATATGATTATTGAGAAAACCTGCTTAGAATCCCTTGAGTTCAAGAGAAATGCCACTAAGATATCTATTATATCTGTGCAAAAAGGTCAACGGAATGTATTTGTCACAAGAAGCGCCTAACAGTAATACTTACACAGCCTCCAGCAAGAACTTCTGCTGGAAGTGGAACAGAGCCATCTCTTCTGGTAAATTTGTCCCGAACAAAATCATTAACCTAATTAGAAAGACAACATCAGTTAACCAAAATTCCCAACCATTTCTCTTCTGGCATACTGTTGCTTTTCCAAGTCAGCAAAATATTTGTCTTATGATAAAATTTAAAATTATCAAATGCTTACATGTAAAATTAAAGTTGTACAAATTCTGCGACAGTGTGCCAGTGTCAGCAGCATCAATTTTAGTTTTGTTTTTGAGACAGGGTCTCACTCTGTTGCTCAGGCTGGAGTGCAGTGGCATGATCATAGCTCACTACAGCCTCAAATTCCTGGACTCAAGCAATCCTCCCACATCAGCCTCCTGGCATAAATCACCACACTTGGCTAATTTTTAATTTTGTTGTTGTTGTTGTTGTTTTGGTAGAGCTGAGTTCTTACTATGCTTATGCTGGTTTAGAACTGGTCTCAAGTGATCCTCCCACCACCCAAAATGCTGAGATTATAGGCATGAGCTACCACGCCTAGCCTTGATTTTAGCTTTTTGGCTTAATGGTAATCTAAACAAATGACATAAATTCAGTTAGAGATAAACTTACAGTCAGTTTAATGGCCTTTTCTGGAGCAACCCCTATAAGTTGTGGTATCAGACCTAGGTAAAGGGACAGAATCATCAGCAATATAGCTGTACCAGACATGAATACACAAGCCCAGCAACAAAGAGTTTCCCCCATATTATTTACCCATCAAACATTGCAGAGTTTTCATTAAAATGGGAAAAAGATTATCCTTAAAACTCTGTATACATATGTAATAATTATTTACAAATGCAGTATAATGTCACGTTTTCTTGAGGCTATAAATCCTCTTCTTAAGCATGCTTACTTTAAAGCCTAGTTATCCAACACTTCCCAAAAAGTCCATGAAGAAGAAACGGAGCCATGCGTCTTCTCTATTCTGGGAACACTGCCAATAACAATGTAACCAAATTCCCTCCCTTATTACAACCAACAACATATAAACATACACAGATACTGTACACTTGGAAAAGCTCTGAAAAGCATGCTGTTAAGCATACCCAGATTTTGCTACCTACATAATGGCATACAGTGGCTTCGTTATTATAGAATACTAACTCCCATAATCTTCTCTTCAGAGAAACACAGCATTCAATATTCATTTATTTAAAAGGAAGCCAAAACTGCAAAGAAAAATGCAGTTTTAAGTATTGTTTAACGAGTATCTCCTATAAGCAAAAACATATGCCTGTTGTATTCTTATTGACTAATATATGTCAAGCTTAAGACATTTTAAAAGAATCCCCTCAAAACAAAGGAAATCATAATCCTTAGAAAGTTAAATTCCCCAGGCTGGTTGTAAACTGGAAAAGAAAAAAATAAACAATTCAACATCTGTTGGGCTCAGCTTTCTAAAGCACACAGCTTATCCAAATTGTTAGCATACTTTTTTGCATACATTTTTTAAAGATGCTAACAATAAACATTTTATATCCTTTAAATCATCCAGCCAAAGGGGAGTTATATATGTGTTTGCCTGCTTGCTGACTGCTGATCTTAAGCCTGCTTTGAGGATACTGCTGAGTTCCATAAGTTGAGAGCCACAAGTAATCATACATATAGGCTACTGTCAGTCAGGCTGAATTATCAATGATACACACAAAGCCTCACACACCTTTCATGCGTAGCAGACTGATTTAAAAGAACAAATCAGCAGATGGCAGTATTAACTTTCTAACCCTCGTGATTATCAGGCTCTATTACTTTTAATCTAACTCCCATACAACCATGTCAGCATGCATATTTGTTTTACAACTCGCCTCAATAAGGCTCATGGAATTTAATAAAGTACTGATTTGTGTCATTTTATCATTGTTGCCTGCGAAGAAATTTAGCTAATCTGTCAACAATTTTGTCAATCATCTGACAGAATAATGGACCAGTTGCAAGCAATATATGACAATCTCAATAATCATAGTGCTCACATACAGGACTCCTACAATCTTCTCCCTAATACAAAAGTCTCTCATTTAAAGAACTGCTTTTATGAGCTTACATCCTGAATAAAACCAACAATCCCCTCCCCTACTTGCTATATTGCATCCATTTAATAAACATGACATCTCTCTCAAATGAAATCTTCTGTAAGCATCTATCCATTGAGAAGGCTAAACTATGCAGTAAATATCTAGGTTCCTTTTAATAGGGGACATTTTCTTTGCAATTTAAAAGTATACCAAAGAGGAGAAAGGTCATTATTCAACAAAGAAATATTGGAGATATCAAGGAAAAAAACAACCTTAATGCCACTCAACCTTGATTCCCCATTAAATAAAATCTGGATATGCAGGGTTTAATCAGTTAAAACAAGCATTCACATGGAAAGGTCTGCATTCTGGATATTGTACGCCTTTCCACAGGGTACATGCTGTACAGGTGGAATTCAAAGAGACTACAGTTCTGAATATTTGAGGAAAACTCATCACATTCATTCTCAAGAGCAGGGTACTTGAGCCTAGTTTGATTTCGGAATAACTCTCTCCTATTATTCTATATATAATGCTAAAAATGAACATCCTTGTGACCCTCTACTTCAATTATGAGTTTATCGGAGTTATATTTTTTGCTTGAATACCTGTATATAATGCTAACCAGCGGTGTTTTTTTCCTCCTGTCCATGAGCATAAAGCTCTGTTCGGGCCCAGTCTTTCTTAGGAAGATTTCTAAGCCAAATAGTTCAACAGAGCTCAGAATAGGCTAGGGATTAATGAGCTTGTATGTGCAAACAAACAAGTACAGTAAATTACATAAATGGCATGGACTTGAGCATGTAGAGAGTATTTTCATAGAATCCCAAGTGGCGCCCAAAGAGATTAAAAAATTAATCTCCCTCCCAAAGGAAACCCTATATTCTAATGTGAAAACACATACATGAAAGTCATTCTCTCTCCAAAGAGACAAGTTCCTACAAAGACAACGGGGGGTGGGGAAAATTCTGCATGGGGCGCAGTGCTGCCTCTGATGCCAACTGCACTGTGCTCAGTCTAGAGTGGCTGCTAACATTCCCTGCGAAAGAAAATCTCTCTGTTTTGACTGTACACCTCTGAGCTAAGTGGGGGAAAGAAGCAAGAATTAGACTTGGAACCAAAGGGTTTTCCTTTTTTTTTTTTTTTTTAAACCTTCAGATGGCTCATTGGAAAAAATTTATAAATGGTCCCTGAAAGAGACAAAAACATTTGATATTTATTTCAGTTGAAATAAATATATGGAGGGTAAACTCATCTTTGAGTGGTAACCTGGATTCTTTTTCACAGGAAAGAGATGTATTTCTCCTCTTTAATTCTTTGAGAAAAGCAGCTCTATATTTCTTAACTATCATCCTTGTATTCCACCTGCAGATATGTGCCTTGGTTTGTAGGAGCATGGTGACATAGACCCATGTTGGGACAAACACATAATTTGGACACCAAGAAATATAAACCACAAGAAGAAGAAATGAAGACCTTATTTGCAGATTAATATTGCTAATCACCAGAAAGAATGCAAAAAGGGAAATGAGCAAAGAGAAAATAAAAAGAGAGAAACAGACCTAGTCTGGCTAGGCATACTACATATTGGCTTCCATAATTAGTGAGTTAAAATCTGCTGCTGGTGAGATCAAATCACTAACTTCAGCAGCTGGGATTTGCTTACTCACCCCTGTAGAGTCCAAAGAAGCCCTCATAACGCAAGACTTTCTTAAAACAGTCAAAGCTGTTTTTGTACATTAGCTCCCCAACAACAGAGCCAGAGCCACGCTGGTTTTGCATTCGGGTCTTCACCAGATCTATAGGATACACTGCAGTGGCTCCCACAGCTACAAACAGAACAATTTTTAGGCTTAAAAAAGAACACAATTAAATGGAGAGTCCATAAGGATGACAAATCTTATCTTAAAGGATGAGAAAATAAAACACAACATGTATTCTCACAAAAGAGAGTTTATTATTTTTCTTTCCCTCACAAACACCTTAGGGATAGCAGGCTATAGCAAGCACTGAAATCCATAAATACAGCTGCTTCAGAAAACAACTGTCAAGAATGCTCTTTGATATCGTAGGTTCATAAACTACAGAGTGGATTATCGAGTCACTTCCCAAATTAGATAATCAACACTCAGTTTTCTATAGTAACAACATTAAACTATTATGTATAACATTTATTTATATTTTCCATTAAATGCTTAAATATTATGCCAGTTACTTCTTAAAATGACTATATCCGTACACTAGGTGGCTACGATTTTAAAATTTAGTTTAATAAAGCATCTTGGTAAATTAATCATAGTTACAACCATAATATTAGAAACACACTTCAACATTATCCTATCCCTATGTATAGAATTTGGTTTAAAAGAAAATATGGCTATGCTTTAGAATTTCTCAGGGAATGAAAATTTATTTACATGAACGAGAGTATTACACATTTTGACTGCTGAAAGCCAAAACCTGGTTTGCAACTTCTAAAACTGAGAGTGAAAAGAAAAAAAAAAGTCTTTTGAGTTCAGGCTTATCTTAAAAAATCGTAAGCATTTTAATCACACCTGCTAGCTTCTTCTCAACAAAGCAACTTCAGATTGTACACATTTTCTAAGTAGAGTATTTAAGCAAAAACAGTCTCTCAAATTTTGGCTGTGAACAGGGAGGGAAGGGAGGTTCATTTTTGCAAATAAACATCAAGTCCAGATATTGTTAAGCAAGCGATAAGGGAAAGGAAAACATACAAGCAGAAAAGCAAAACTGGGTCACTTTGAGAGGCTCTTTTATTTCACGAGGTTCTGGGATTCATATCCCAAATCTCAATTTCTTTCTTTTTTTTTTTAGTTTTATTTTAGGTGTGGGGTATATATGAAGGTTTGTCACATAGGTAAACACGTGTCACGGGCGTTTGTTGTACATATTTCATCGCCCAGGTATTAATCCCAGCATCCAACAGTCATTTTTTCTGCTCCCCTCCTTCCTGCCACCCTCCCCCACAAGTAGACCCCAGTGTCTGTTGTTTCCTTCTTTGTGTTCATAATAAGCTCCTATTTAGTTCCCACTTATAAATGAGAACATGTGGTATTTGGTTTTCTGTTCCTGCGTTAGTTTGCTAAGGATAATAGCGAATCTCAATTTCTTAACCTGTCCCATAAACACAGTCTCATTTTCCATTTTTTCATACTGGCCTTAGCCAGTATAATTAAGGTGAGTGCAGCACTGCATCCCAGACTTTCACATCATTACAGAGGTTCTGTCCTGAAGACAGACTGGAGCCAGATGGTCATAGCCATTGCTACGACAAGTCTCCTGATCATAGGTAAAAATAAAGAACACTTCAGAAAGCCCTGAAGTCGTGACCCATGGGAACAATGAACTGCACCTTTGCTGATCTGCCTCAGTCTGGTGAGATAATATTACATTAACACAAGCCTCAAACAGCACACAGACATGTCACTCACCTCCAGCAACTGAGCCCAGAGTGAATCTGTAAGCAGACTCGGCAATCTGGAGCCAGATAGGCCTGCCTAACCCAGGAGACTGCTGCAGAGAAGAAAACGGGTAAAAAAAAATCTTGAAAGCGCACACAGCAAGTGAAAAAGCTACAATTTGACTATTTTAAGACAAGAAAAAACAAAACCTAAAAGTGATATTGTTAATGCAGTAATATCTTTTCTAAAAGAAGAAAATAGGATATTCATGCAGCCAAAAATGAAAGCAATGTATTTAAAAATAGATAACTCTATTGTCAGCATTTAAAAACCATGTTAGGCCAAATACACAGTAGCTTCCCACTTACCCCAATTTTTACAAGCCTATTAATGCCTCATTTATCTGCTACTGTTGGGGGAATACACTATCAGTTTACAGAAGTGAATCTTTCAGGTAAACAAGCATTTCAGTTATAAAATTTTTTTCCTTCTTTAACTAACTTAAAATTTAAAAAGCTTTCTAAAGTGTATAAAAATTAACTTGATTCTTAAATCAGAGAATATTGATCATAATCTACCATCTCTAATGACTACTGCCACAGTTCTAACATAAAAATCTATAATAATAAAAAAGAGAAAAATTCCACCAGATGTTATTTCACAGGTATCCCACAGCATAAAGAAAGGATCTAAGATAACTTGTCTATACTAGTGTGTCAGTCTTGTTCTTTAATATTTTCACTATGAAAAGACCTTCTATACTATGTAAACAGTATGAAATGACAGAATAAACTAAATAAAAAGTTCACATATTTGCCAACGTCTTAATTATATATACATAAACTTAATATACATTATAAAATTACACATAAGATGTATTTTAAAGTATATACAAAAATAGAAATTATAGAATGAGATAAATATTTCTAAGTAATTTTATATTTCACTTATTAATTAATGCAAAAATATTCCTTTTTTTTTTTTTTTTTTTTGGAGACAGGGTTTCACTCTGATGCCTAGGCTGGAATGCAGTGGCACAAACATGGCTCACCGCAGCCTCAAATTCCCAGGTTCAGGCCATCCCAACGACTCAGCCTCCGAAGTAGCTAGGACTACAGGTGCATGCCACCATGCCCAGCTAATTTTTAAATTTTTTGTAGAGATGGGGTCTGTTTATGTTGCCCAGGCTGGTCTCAAACTCTTGAGCTCAAGCTATTCTCCCACCTCAACCTCCCAAAGTGCTGGGATTACAGGCATAAGCCACCTCACCTGGCACAAAAATATTCCTGATACTACTTTCAAATACCAAAATCCATGGATGCTCATGTCCCTTATCTAAAATAGTGTAGTATTTTCACATAACCTATGCACATCCTCTTGTATTCTTTAAATCATCTCTACATTACTTCTAATACCTAATATAAGGTAAATAAGATGTAAATAGTTGTTATACTGTATTTTTAAATTTTGTATTTTTTTATTGTTGTAGTGTTATTTTTTATTGTTTGTTTTTTCCCAAATATTTTCCATCCACAGTTGGCTGAATCCAAGGACATGAAACTCAAGCAGATGGAGGGCCCACTATATTGAATATGCTTCAGTATAATTAACTGAATATGCTTCAATGAGTTTCTAAAATGTTGATTAACCAGTTAATTCTGATACTTTGTTTCAAAGACAACAGTTGAAAACATATACACAATCTGTCCTTTCAAGGCAATGATGATATTTAATCTCATATACTTTGAAGGAATTCAAGTTATGGCATTGCTACAGATTCACTGCTTGTGACTCCCCAAAATTCATGTGTTGAGACCCTACTGCCCAATGTGATTGTATGTGATGTGAAGGTGGCAACTTTGGGTGGTAATTAGGTCATGAAAATGGAGCCCTCATGATAGGATTAGTGCCATTATAAGAAAAGACACAAGAAAGACGACCTCCCTCTATCTCTCCCTCTTATAACAAGGATATAACAAGCAGCCTGCTGTCTACAGACTAGGAATAGGGCCCTCACCAGTAACTGAATCGGCCAGCACCTTGATCTTGTACTTTCTAGCCTCTAGAACTATGAGAAATAAATGTTTGCTATCTAAACCACCTATGGTAATTTGTAATAGGAGTCCAAACAAAGACAGGCATTTTAGCTCACATTTTAAAATCAATATAGCTATTATGCTACCTACTAAACACATTGGCATACGTTTTTAACTTCTTTAAAAATGCACTGGGCCAGCACAGTGGCTCATACCTGTAATCTGAGCATTTTGGGAGGCCAAGGTGGGCGGATCACTTGAGTTCAGGAGTTCAAGACCAGCTTGGCCAACATGGTGAAACCCTCTCTCTACTAAAAATACAAAAATTAGTCAGGTATAGTGGCAGGTGCCTATAATCCCAGCTACTTGGGAGGCTGAAGTGGGAGCATCACTTGGACCTGGAGGTGGAGGTTGCTGTGAGCTGAGATCACATCACTGCACTCCAGCCTGAGTGACAGAGCAAGACTCTGCCTCAAAAAAAAAAAAAAAAAAAAAAATGTATGTAGAATGTTATTTCCCCCACTTAGAGTTTCTCAATCACAAAACTGGATGAAAATAAATTTCATTCTCATAGATTATGAATTATTTTCAATCATGTATCCTTTCAAAAGAATATGTTGAATTAAAACTCACAGAATAAAAAGCCTATGATCCTAAATAAGCATCAAGTAACCACTAATACCCTTATTCATATAAAAGGTTTCTCCTGTATTCAACTGCATATATTTTTCTGTATACTTTCTTCCTTTAAAGAATGTTTATAAGCCCTACAAAATCCTATGAAAACTGAAGGATTATACTGTGCTTTAATTCTTTGCTAAAAACATTTCTAACTATAAATACCCAAATGCCTTTTGACAGAAATGTCACCTTCACCCTTATTAAATAACATTTAAAAGAAAACATACAATATATGGTTAGCAACATTTTTTTAAGGCTTAGTTATCACTTATGGCTCACTTGTATTCAGGTATGTAAATTAATGTAATTAATGCTATGGATTTCACTTCATGAATATTCATAAATGAAATGCTACCGCTGTCATCCCTATTAATGACTGTGTCCTGAATTTTTAGCATTTAGGCTGAAGGAAAACACTCAGCACTAAGAAGATTGCCTGCCGTGAGCAAATGGGCCAAAGGAAAAGACGCTCTTTCCCTTAAGGTTATGATTATGGTCGTAAAGTTTGATATTTAACAAGGTTAATTAAGTGTTTTTCAAAACAAGAGTTGAGAATCTTAAATGATTTTTAACCTACTCCCTAAGCATATGTGTATGATAGGAAATAAGTTGAGACCTCATTTAAAGAGATGTTCTCTTCATTTTTTTGTTATACGTATCTCATTTTGTAAGTGAGAATTAGGTCTAGTGATGTGGCTCATAGCAGTAATCCCAGCACTTTGGGAGGCTGAGGCAGGCAAGATCACTTGAGCCCAAGAGTTCAAGACCAGCCTGGGCAACATGGTAAAACTCCATCTCTACAACAAATACAAAAGTTAGCCAGGCATGGTAGTACATGCCTGTGGTCCCAGCTACTTGAGAGGCTGAAGTGGAAGGATCACTTGAGCCTGGGAGGTTGAGGCTGCAGTGAGCAGTGATGATGCATTAGATAAGGCAAGATTATGTCAGTTAACAAGTCAAACCTGCCCAAACCACACTGCCAACTCAATAGGGAGAACTACCTCTTTCAAATGACACACTATTAATGGGTAGAATAAAAGGGAGAAATAGCTAAAGTTTTTATATCAAGCATTGGAAGGGGGAAAAAAGGCTAGATTCTATAAAAACAAAAATGTATGACTGGAATGGCAAAATAAGGCTAGAGAAAACAAAACAAAATTTTTCTGTCTGCAAACTACATCTATGACTTCAATAGTCTGGGATTTGAATTCAATATTCTTGGCCTTAAAAAGTAAGATTAAAACCTAAAGCCATGACAGTATAGGAGAAGGAGATGAAGGAAAAATATATATATACATAAAATATATATATAATATATAATACATATTATATATAAATATAAAATATATGATATATAATACGTATTATATATGTATAATACGTATTATATATTAATATATAATATATAATACATATTATATATGTATATAATATATACTAATATATATAATGTATACATTATATATTTACATAATATATAATACATAATATAGAATTATAATTATATATAATACATAATATATAATTATATATATTATTATATATGTATTTATATTATATATAATATATTATATATAATATATATTATATAATTATATAAGTATATAATTATGTTATATACATAATAATATATAATATATAATACTTATTATATATTATATATATTAATATATATATAATTTTCCCCTGAATGCTAAACAATACATATTTTTCTCTCAGCAAAAAGGGAGTTAAGTTGTGTTAAAGACTATAGTTAAGTCTTCAAATCTAATAATTTAAATGAGTTAAATTTAAATGAGTTAAATGACTAATAAATAATAGCTAATAATAGACTAATAAATAAACCTAACTTTCTTTTTGAGAACAGACTTCCATTTGTGGTAAAATATCACAGGTGAAAGAGGTAAAATGTTCCAAAAAAAGGAATTCCTAAATGGACAGTAATGTCTTCCTATATGTGCTCATGAATCCAAAATTCAAAGAAGGTCCACAGAAATGCAAATTACACAAAGAAAACAAAGTCCTATGTCTAAGGAACGCTATACACAAAATAAAGATAAAAGTAATTCTAATATGCAGCCATAAAAAAGAATGAGATCCTGTCTTTTGCAGGGACATGGATGGAGCTGGAGGCCACCATCCTTAGCAAACTAACACAGGAACAGAAAGCCAAATACCGTATGTTCTCACTTATAAGTGGGAGCTAAGTGATAAGAGCTTATTATGAACACAAAGAAGGAAACAACGGACACTGGGGTCTACTTGAGGGAGGACTGGAGGAGAAAGGAGAGGAGCAGAAAAGATAACTATCGGGTACTGGGCTTAATACCTGGGTGATGGAATACTATGTACAAAAAAACCCCATGACACGTTTACCTATGTAACAAACCTTCACATGTACCCCCAAACTTAAAAGTTAAAATAATAATTCTTAATAATTCTAATGATGTTTTGACAGAACACAATCCAGCTTATATTCCATAGTTTTTTTAGTGAGTGGCCTATAGCTTTAATATAATTTCCCATAGAAACAAAACTTTTTTAAAGAAAGTACATATATACCCAAGCAGGTCTATCACAGATCATTTATCCCATACAGTTGAAAAAAGTAATTATGTAATATACAGTAAAGAAAAAGAGGCCGGGCGCGGTGGCTCACGCCTGTAATCCCAACACTTTGGGAGGCCGAGGCGGGCGGATCACGAGGTCAGGAGATCGAGACCATGCCGGCTAAAACGGTGAAACCCCGTCTCTACTAAAAATACAAAAAATTAGCCGGGCGCAGTGGCGGGCGCCTGTAGTCCCAGCTGCTTGGGAGGCTGAGGCAGGAGAATGGCGTGAACCCGGGAGGCGGAGCTTGCAGTGAGCCGAGATCCCGCCACTGCACTCCAGCCTGGGCGACAGAGCGAGACTCCGTCTCAAAAAAAAAAAAAAAAAGAAAAAGAGAAGGTTTGTTTTCCCATTTTCACATAGGACCAAAATTGGTCTATAACCTGGTTTTAATATCCAAACTGTTACATGCTTCAAAAATATACATCCTCTTCTTTCTGCAACCCACCTCCTCTTTTATCTCACTTCCCTCAAATCAAAATTTCCATTTCTCTCACTGTAGGTCATCTTAATAGCACAACATATTTATCCGTTCTACTGTTGGTGAGTATTTAGATTCCAATATTTTTGCAACTGCAAATAACGCAGCTATAAACATTCTTTTTTTTTTTTTTTTTTTTTTTTTTTTTTGAGACAGCGTCTCCCTCTGTTGCCCAGGCTAAAGTGCAGTGGCGCATTCCTGGCTCACTGCAACCTCTACCTCCTGGGTTCAAGCAATTCTCGTGCCTCAGCCTCCCGAGCAGCTGGGACTATAGGTGTGCACCACTATGCCTGGCTAAATTTTTTGTATTTTTTGTAGAGATGGGGATTCATCATGTTAGACTCCTGACCTCAAGTGATCCACCCACCTCAGCTTCCCAAAGTGCTGGGATTACAGGTGTGAGCCACCACACCCGGCCTAAACTTTCTTGTACATATCTCTTAACACACATGTGTAAACATTTTTGTTAGGGACTACACCCAGGAGAGGAACCAACAGGTCACGGGGTATGTGTTTCTTCAACTGCAGTGGTACTGACAAATAGTTGCCAAAGTTGTGATGCTAGCAATTTCCATTCCTTCACCTCTTGAACAACACTTGCCATTGTCAGAGTATAATTTTGATCAATCTGGATAGTATAAAATAGCATCCCATTGCAGTTTTAATGTGTGTTTTCTTGTACTAATGATATTAAACTTTTCTATTATTTTTCCTTACCATTTGGATATCCTCTTTTGTGAGGTTTCTGTTCAGGTATTTAGCCAATTTTTCTATTGCATTGCCTGCCTTTTGCTTATAAATTTGCACAAGTTTATTATACTATATATTCTGGATACAGATCCTCTATTATTTAAATTATTGCAAATATCTCTGCCTATTGTGTAACTTGTCTTTTCACACTCTTAGTGGTATATTTTGATAAAAGTTCTTAAATCTAATGAAGTTTAACTTATTAATCTTTTTCTTTATGACTGGTGTTCTGTACTATTCACAAAATCTCTGCCTATCTCCAGATCATAAATAGAATATCTTGTGTTATCCTCTTTAATCTTTCACATTTAGGAACAGGAAAAGACTTTTGTGTATGGTATGGGGTAGTGATTTTTTTTCCTTGTTGAATATCCATCATTAATTAAAAATTTTTAAAAACAGGCCTGGTAAAATTTCAGCCAGCATCAAAAAATTAAAATATAAAACATTTCAGGCACTTAAAAAATACAAAGATATATTAATACTTTTTCCTCACTTCCCATCCCCTTCTACCTAATGGAAGTAGATGAGGGTAGATTAAGCAGTTGTGTCACATATATGTTTCAGCCCATCTTGGAGTTTGCTTATATGGGCTTCTCATATTTGATAACAGTAATAAGCACAATAATAGCAGTTAACATTTATTGCATGCTTAGCAGGTGTCAGGCTTAATGTAAGTGTATTATTACTCATGTAATTCCCATAACAATCCTATAAAGATGCATACTGCTATCCCTATTTATTTATTTATTTGAGACAGGGTCTCACTCTGTCACTCAGGCTGGAGTGCAGTAGTGTGATCACAGCTGACTGCAGCCTCAAATTCCTGGGCTCAAGCAATCCTCCCACCTCTGTCTCCCAAATAGCTGAGACTACAGGTGCATACTACCATGCCTGGCTAATTTTTTGTATGTTTTTTTAGAGACAGGGTTTCATCATATTGCCCAGGCTGGTCTCAAACTCCTGGGCTCAAAACAACCTGCCCGCCTTGGCCTCTCAAAGTGCTGGAATTACAGGCACAAGCCACTGTGCCTGGCATACTGTCCCTATTTAATAAATGAGGAAACAGAATGAGAGGATGTTACATAATCAGTGGCCAGGCTCTTAACTACTCTCTCCCTCATAACTTCTAGTTCTGGACTCACAGATTCTCCATCATAAACAAGTGTTTTCATAACAACTTTCATAAGGTGAGATAACAAGACATATATCCTTCTTCCTATTTTATATTTAGGTTTCTAATAGATTCATATAAGGGAATACTCTGCATAATAAATGTAAGTAATTATGTACTTCTAATTTGGCAATATAGGAAAAATTACAAGAGAATCAAATCAAGATATCTTCTGGAAGTAACATGGGAATAGTTAAGGTTAGCATTACTGAAATTCTGTGAACTAAAGAATGTTAAAAACTGAGTCACTAGGATTGTAGTCTATATGGCTGCCTTACAATGCCTCATAAACCTGAAATATGTTAACTGAGGAATGTTTTTTCAAGGCTGAAAATTGAAGAAAGTTTATTCCATTACTTTGGTTGCTATAAGAACTTAAGCATATTTTCATATTATTCTACTTGAGTCCAGCCTGTATTCCTTATAAAATTTTAAATGTTACAAAGGAAAAAGGAGGATAAATTTAGAATTCTGAAAATAAAATCCATTGATACATACCATTCTACAGAATGCAGGAGCTTGAAGGCTTCTCAGAAATACATGAAGATACTCACTTTATTAAAGGGAAAACTGAGTCCCAAATAAACTTGTATCAAATCTCAAGGACAGTAAAGATCAGATTTCACAATGGCCATTAGTGGACATTAATCTGAATCCTTAACCTTCACAAATCTGTTTCTATAAAATTCTAATAATTATTTATTATTTCTGTTGAGTTCTATTTTCTCAGATTTTGTTCCTATAATAATGTACAGGAAAATATACACTTAAGACCTTAATTTTTATTTCTCTGTACCTAATCCTCAGTAGAAAGACTATCTTCTATGTGAGAGGAAACATCAAACATTTTAGCTGAGTGCAGTGGCTCACACACACTGTAATCCCAGCACTTTGGGAGGCCAAGATCAGTGGATTAATGTAAGCTTAGGAGTTTGAGACCAGCCTGGGAAACATGGCTTAACCCTGTCTCTACTGAAAACAAATTAGCTGAGCATGGTGGTGTATGCCTACAGTCCCAGCTATTCAGGAGGCTGAGGTGGAAGGATCACCTGAGCCGGGGAGGTCAGGACTGCAGTGAACAGTGATTGTGCCTGGCTGACAGAGTGAGACCCTGTCTCCACAAAAAAAAAAAAAAATTGTCCTGAGACTCTGAGGTTCTTCCTTTGGGGACAATGTAAGAATACCTAAGACTTCTACCAGCTCTCCAGAAATTCTAGATCCCTGTACTATCTCACTGGTTAAGGAAAGGCAGAGAAAGCACTCCCCATCACTCTGGATACCAATCAGAGACCCAGGGAAGAAGAAAATGGTGGTTTTTATCACTGCCCATTTCCTAAAT
The DNA here is from genome assembly GCF_000001405.40 of Homo sapiens. Classification (NCBI taxonomy): domain Eukaryota; kingdom Metazoa; phylum Chordata; class Mammalia; order Primates; family Hominidae; genus Homo; species Homo sapiens. The sequence continues at coordinate 254,335 of NW_025791761.1, forward strand.
ATCTGAAAAGACCCTTGAGGCCACCCATCCCAGCATAAAAGCATCAGCGCTGCCACTGAAGACAGGCAAATCATCTTGAATCTGTCTTAAAAAGAATTCACAGCAGTAGCAAAATTACATCACTTTCCTAAGGATGAAGAAATGTGAAGGATGCAGACTCAGGGTGCCAAAGATTGCAAAACAAGCTTCAGATATGGCCTCTAGGAAAATTGCTAGGGGCAAGAGAGGTGGGTGAATAGAAAAGTAAGCAGCAGAAAAACTGAGGAGGAGAAATGAGTTGAGACTTTTAAATTCAATGTTTTTAATAAGCTAAATGAAATATTCCCCAATTACAAATATTAAGGAAACCTCCAGGGAGAGCTATATCAATAGACACATGCAACACTGCAAAATATCTTCTTTTGAAATGCAATTTTTCAAAATTCAAGAGCAAATTTTCACAGATGTATAGGCTACAAAAAATAAAATTAAATTCAGTAAGAGCTCTTTAAATATTTCAATGTCTCTTAATTTTATTAAAAATTTTTCACATTCTTTCCTTTTATTAAACATAATTTTATAAAATTTTATTTTTTTAAAATCACTGAATTGAAATAAATCCATCTATTTTTAAAGGATCTGAGACCTCCTAATGGAAATAAACTTTTTTCTTTTTTTTTTTAAGACAGAGTCTCACTCTGTTGCCCAAGCTGGAGTGTAGTAGCACAGTCACGCTCACTGCAACCTCAACTTCCTGGGCTCAGGTGATTCTCCCTCCTCAGCCTCCCAAGTAGCTAGGACTACAGGCACACGCCATCACGCCTGGCTAATTTTTTGCATTTTTTTTTTGTAGAGATGGGGTTTTGCCATGTTGCCCAGGCTGGTCTGGAACTTCTGGGCTCAAGCAATCTGCCTGCCTCAGGCTCCCAAATTGCTGGCATTACAGGCATAAGCCACTGTACCCAGCCTGGAAATAAACTTTGATGGCAGCAGATAAAAGAGTTTTTCTGATACAAAAGAAGCTAAATTGCAATGAGTTACAACATATTTTAATCTGTAGGAAGCTTTATTACACATCAAGCAAACAGTTAAAGTATTAATACAAAATGCAGATATAATGGTTTCTTTTCCATTTTCAATTTACTTCAACCTGACTACAAAATGTTCTTGTTCCTTATGTAAAGTAGAACTGTAAATTCTAATTAGTTTCACAGGCAGAATCATCATTCCATGGAGCTCAAGTAGAAGAAAGGTTTCCTAACCAAGTCTTCCCAAAGCGAACTACACTTAAACATATCTTGATGTTTCATTAACACATTTGGTGAAGGTGAACAATAACAGCAAGCCAACCCTGGCTACTCACCAATGTGGCAGCAATGAAGAAAGAGCAGACATAGCCTCTTTCTATAGCATGCACATTTAGTAACTGTCTCTCTCTCTCTCTCTCTCTGTATCCTGTCTTCTTTATCCATGCCCTCCCCACGTCGCCTTGCCTAGTATGGCATCACACTCTCCTAGAGAATTATGAGGAACACAGGTTCCATGTCTATTAGAGCAGGAAAGTACCAGGAGGACAATGACTGGCCCTCCTAACCCTTACCCACACACAAAAGCAATGTGATCATCTGCTACCACTGAAACTTCCTAAGTGCTATAGAAGTGGAAGTTTCAACTTAAAACGAGATTTATTAAAAACTGTTCCATTCCACTCTTCAAGGTAATTTCATGGATTTTCTTTTTCTTACCAAGATAGTATTTGTAAAATCAGAAATGGGATTGTATTAATTTTATAGGACTCAGAAGCTACTGTTTTAATCATTCTTAACATTTATAAAAACCAAAAGTAATATTTATCAAAAATGTAATTAACAGTCAGGGTTTTCTTTCTGGTTTCACTAATTACTTTTTTTTTCCTGGCTGTAATCTGTAAGGCACAATCCCAGTGAATGATTTATTTAATTTGAGGGAAGTTTTTTAATTTTAGAAACCCTATAAATATCAGTTTAATGATACAAAGTAAACCTAACACTAATCTTTAAATGTGACGAGGCAAATGAAAAGAATGCTAATTCTAAGGGGAACGGGGTCAAACCCATGTATGTTTGAACTCTTATTTTCCTTATCTGAACAAAACAAAAAACAAAACACAAATATAAATCTAGTTATCTCATAAAAATATTCTATAGGCTGGGTGTGGTGGCTCATGCCTGTAATCCCAGCACTTTGGGAGGCCGAGGCAGGTGGATCACCTGAGGTCACGAGTTCAAGACCAGCCTGCCCAACATGGCAAAACCTTGTCTCTACTAAAAATACAAAAATTAGCCAGTTGTGGTGGTGCACGCCTGTAATCCCAATTACTCGGGGAGGCTGAGGCAGGAGAATCTCTTGAACCCAGAAGGCAGAGGTTGCAGTAAGCCGAGATCACGCCATTGCACTCCAGCCTGGGCAACACAGCCAGACTCCATCTCAAAAAATATATATATATTCTATAAAAGTGGGGGTAACAGTAGTTCTATAAAGGTAATCTTTAAGCTAAGTAAAGTCTTTCTCTGGAAAGTAATTTTTAATTTTTACAGCATTCAGAAGCTGTCAGCTCCTATTTAGTCTACTAGTTCAGCATTTTTTTAAGGTGATCATATTTATGAGATTACTCATACCTGTCTCTGAAGTTCTGCCAGGTTGTAAGGTAAGGCCCCCTCAGCCAATGGGGCTATTCTCTCAATATCTGCCAAAGTCAAGCGCCTTCAGGAAAAATATAGGAAAGAATTGTTAGACACTGACAAACTCCTCACGCCAAAATCATCTTTTCTCAAAAAAAAAAACAAAAAACAGTGAACTATAGTTTAAAATCATTACTTCCCTATTTACACAGATCATTTTAGTGAAATAAAAACCTTTTAACTCTGTTTTCATCAACAAAAAGCAAAAGACTCCAGAGAAATAATGTGGAGTGCATGAATTTGGTAAGACTCCAGTGATAGATATTAAAATCAAATAATTATTGCCAGAAGCAAAAGTATAGAGATTGACTGTCCCTACCCACTAAATGTGTCCCCAAGGATACCTATCTAAAGGACAGGCGCAAAGTATCTGGGAAGGATACACATAAATCTGATAAATACTGGTTGCCTCGAAGGAAAGGAACAAGGGTATGAGGGAGACTTTTTTTTTTTTTCCAACGATATGTTCTTTCCAACCCTTTGAGTTTTGACCCATTTTTAGGCAGGAGAATAGGGTCTGGAGACAGGCAGCCTTCACTTCAGCCTCTGATTGGTCATGGGCCAAGTCTTCATTTGCGTAGGATGTAACTTCAGCCTCTGATTGGTTGTAGGCTGAGCCTTCACTTCAGCCTCCAATTGATCACGGGCTGAGCCTTCACTTCAGCCTCCGATTGGTTGTGGGCCAAGTCTTCATTTATATAGGGTGTAACCGATAGGAAACCTCTAATGGGTACTTAAACCCCGGAAGATTTGCAACTAGGGCTCTTGAGCTGCTTGCTCAAGCCTGCTCCTGATCTGTGGAGTATACTTTTGCTTCAATACATCTATGCTTTTGTCTTCTATTGCTTTGTTTGTGCGTTTTGTCCAATTCTTTGTTCAATATGCCAAGAAACTGGACAACTTGTAGTCAAGACCCTCCACTGGTAACATATCTTGGCAAGTCAGCCAGGAGGTAAGCCCAAATTTGGGGATTTATTTTTCTTTGCTTTGCTTTTGCTCTTTTTCTTTTCCTCTCTATTGAGCCTTCATTTGCGGGCACAGGCTAGAGCTATCTCCATGCAGAGCTCCCTACACTCCACAGAGGGGAACCCTTTCTGCTCTCTTTCCCTTTTCCAACACGGGACCCTCCACAGACAGCATCTAAGCATGAAGGCAACTGCAGGTCTCTGGCCAGGTCCACTCTCCCGGGAGACTGAAAGGTATCCATGTGGAAGCACCTGACCACCATTGCCTGGTTTGGGTGAGGGACCTGAGTCCTTTTCTTTTTTTCAGTCTTTCAGAGGCTGTTTCCTAGTAGATCCTTGGTAATTGAGGGCAACTAGCCAGAGCCACTCTCTGGTGTTACCTGAAGGCCAAGAAGTGAATGGGGATAGCTGCCCTGCCCAGAATGGGGAAGTACTCTTTTCTATCTTTCCTAGTTAAAGTCCCTAATCCCTACATGTGACGAAATTGGCAGTGGCAGCTCTTCCAGAACAAACTCACAGATGTTTCAGTCAACTTAAGCCCTCTTTTCTTATGTCAAATTCTCCTAAAGAGTTAGCTTGTAATGGCAAAGGATATCTCTTAGATGTTTTGACTTCCCTTATCCTACTCAATCTATTCAACTTGCTGAGGACTTTTGGGGCCCACAATCTTTAGAATACATTCTACATCTTGTTTCTTTTGTCATCACCAGATTATTTTTATAGAATGGCCTGCCCTTACACAGGGTCCACTGTCATGGTGGTGGATTTTTAAACATTCCCTCTCTTGTCGAGGGCCTGAGTGGAATAGCCAACACTATTATTTCATTTTTCATGCCCAAAATCTACCTTTCCCCCCTTGAGATTACCTGTAATCCACATGACAAAAGAAATCCATCCAACCTCTAGTTCCTATTATTAAAGTTCATGGCTATCACTCCAGTGGAACAGGAAACCATGGCCTTATCAAATTATATGGATGCTAGAAGACAAGGCCTTCATCCAGGGACAAAAGGAAAGCTCACAGTGGGTCATCAGTGGTGGAGAGAACCTTCCCAAAGTGGTACCATCACCCATCTAAGGTCAGAGACATCTGACAGACTAAGATGGGGCCCTAAAGGGGGACACCCCTGAGGACCCCAATCAAGGCCCAGAGTTTTTCCAGGGGGATGCCCCAGGTAAAATTTGAGTCACCAAATAAGCTAGGTTCTCTTCTTTCTTCCAGACCTCTATGGGCAACTCTCCATCCATTCCACCTGATTCCCCACTTGGCTGCATTCTCAACCACTGGAATCAATTTGACCCTGACAATCTAAGGAGAAAACATCTGATTTTTTTTAACCATAATATTGTATGGCCCCAAAATTAGCTAGACAGCCAGGAATAATGGGGAGTCAATGGAAGTCTTAATTACAACACCATCCTGCAATTAGACCTATTTTGCAAAAGGCAGTGTAAATGGTCAGAAATCCCATATGTGCAGGCCTTCATGGCCCTATATCAAAACCCAACCATCTGCAAAACTCCCAGAACCTGCCCCCAAAAGGGCAGGTTCTAAGGCAGAACCGGATATTGTGGATGACCTCCTTTTTGCAAGGGCCACCTGTCTCTCAGGGGCAATGGCAACCACCCCCATATAACCCCTTGCCAAGTGTTTCTGAGGCTCAAACCCAAGAGCTAAAACCAAGGGCCCTGCTAAGTCCCCTCACATTCAGAGGGGAACACTCTATTCAACTACCTCTATAGCCCTGCTATCCCTTAGGGAAGCAGCAGGAGCCGAGGGGCTGGTCTGAGTGTAGGTCCCCTTCTCCATAAATAACATACAACAATGTAAAGAAAAAGCTAGGAAGCTATTCAGAGAACCCCAGAAAATTTGCAGATAGGTTCCAAGCTTTGACCTTAGCCTTTCATCTCTCATAGAGAGACGTTCAATTCATTCCAGCAACTTGTTGCACCCTGTTGGAAAAGGAATGAATCTTTGAGGCCACTTGCCGAGAAGCAGACAATTTATTTGCCCAAAACCCTCAGGGTAATTGCCCAGGCCCAGACACAGTCTCCGCTACTGATCCTAACTGGGACTATAACACCCCCATGGGAATGAACAACTGGGCCAAATTTCTTAAGGCTCTCCTTGGAGGAATGAAAAAGGGAATAACTAAGGCAGTAAATTATGATAAAGTAAGGGAGGTTGCACAGGGCAAGGAGGAAAATCTAGCCGTGTTTTATGGCAGGCTGGAGGAAGCCTTTAGAAAATATACCAATCTGGACCCTTTCTCTCCTGAAGGCAGTGTTGAGCCCTCTTTTGTTCCTAGTATTACTACCTTCAGTATGAACTCTCTTGTTAGTTATTACTCCGTTTAGAAGTTTGTACATTTTACTGACTACTTTATAGAAACAAATAATCTATATTGCATCATTTTCAAGCCCACAGAAATGTATAAGCCCTATAATCTTGACACTTTTCAATTATGTTTAACGTTACAAGCATGTAAAACACTGCTGATATATGTAAGAATATGTATAAATACCACTAGATAGCTTATTTTGAAGAGATATTCTCTAAATTTTTGTTCACAGTAGATTGACTGCAGTTTCTTAGGTGTGTTTCTCAATATACTCTCTCAATGTTTTAAAGCATAAAGAAATTTGAATACTGTTTAACCTCATGTACTCCTTTGTTTACAGGTTGCTTTATATTTTTTTTTTCTTGAAATGGAATCTCATAATGTTGCCCAGGCTGGAATGCAATGGCACAATCTCAGCTCACTGCAACCTCCACCTCCCGGGTTCAAGCTATTCTCCTGCCTCAGCCTCCAGAGTAACTGGGATTACAGATGCACACCACCACACCTGGCTAATTTTTTGTATTTTTAGTAGAGACGGGGTTTCACTATGTTGGCCACACTGGCCTCGAACTCCTGACCTCATGATCCGCCCACCTTGGCCTCCTAAAGTGCTGGGATTACAGGTGTGAGCCACCACACCCAGCCAGGTTGTTTAATATTTCTGAGGATTAAAGACATCATGGCTCCCTTTAAGATTCAGTAATATTAATAAAATGTGAGATATATAGGGTTAGAATCCAACACATTGAGAGGAAAACTGTTAAATTATATAGCTGTAGAGCAGGAAATGAAACCCAGGTTGTAAGCTCTGAGGGGGCAGGAAACCTGTTGGTGAAGTACACCATGAGCTACCACACAAGTGCATCAGTGACTGAGCAGCGAGCTGCGTAGCCTAGCTCTATGTGAACGTGAATTTTTAAACTGCGTTGTGCCTCAGTTTATCCATCTTTACAACAGTTTTGTTTTTCTTCTCAGTTGACTGGACTATTTCCCTGGTCTATCTTCTTGCCACTCTTGATGCCCATGAAAGGACCTAAGGGAGCCTGGGACTCCTTGGGAAAAACAGAAGGTGCCACAGACCCCATTTTAGGAGAAACCCCTGTTTTCCTCATGGAACCCCAAGAACTGTAGGCAGACAGGTCCCTCTCAAAATCTAAGGCTCTGCTCAGTTTTGCATCACATTACCTGACCTTTTTGACTTTTGGAGGCATCAGAAATTACTTTAGTAGGAAAGAGAGATATAAAGAAAGTTATAGCTATGAAGATGTATTTATGATAAGGAAGGTTATGAAGAAAAGAAATTTTATATGAGAAAGAATCTTGTATGGCAAATTCTTGTCCTAAAGTAGAATGCTTAATTACTTAGGAAACAGGGAAATACAGGACAAGTCAGAAAATCTAAGCACGTCATAGATGGTCTGTGGAAGTTGTGATAGGGTTCATAAAGTGGGAAAGAGGCTGGGCCCAGTGGCTCACGCCTGTAATCCCAGCACTTTGGGAGGCCAAGGTGGGTAGATCATCTGAGGTCAAAAGTTTGAGACCAGCCTGGCCAACATGGCTGTCGCTACTAAAAATACAAAAATTAGGCAGGCATAGTGGTACGCACCTGTAGTCCCAGCTACTCGGGAGGCTGAGGCACAAGAATCGCTTGAACCCAGGAGGCGGAGGTTGCAGTGGGCTGAGATCATGCCACTGTACTCCAGCCTGGGCAACAGAGCAAGACTCTGTCTCAAAAAAAAAAAAATTAAAGGGAAAGAAAAACGTAACAACAGCTAGATCTTCCCCTGTCTACAAGTGTTGTGTGTGTGATGTTATATAAAGGAGCTCTAATTAATTGGCTTAAGAGCTACACCCTAGAGATTAACCCTTCACATGATCATGTAAGCTATGCAGTTGCCCAGACTGCATCATTTGGTAAACCTGTATGGTTTCAAGGAAACCATTCCTAGTTCAAGGCACTTTAAAGGATACACAGTCTAAGTACTGCCAAGATAGGCCCAGTAGCTGTGTTCATATTTTCCCTTGGGAAAAACCATACTAATCCTGAGACATCTAGTTGTCTTTTGGTTCCCCAGTATGAAAATACCTCTAGGTGGTTGCTGGTGGACACTAAGTGCAACTACCTCCACTGGAAAAATGCTGCTGGGGCAACTCAGGATACTTCCCAAGGTCCTTTCCAGCCTTTAACCAGGGCCACCTTAGCAGGGACCTTAATCACTTGGGAAAATGAAAACAACAAACTAACCCATATGTTCACCATAGACAACAATTTTTGTCTTAAAAAACAAAGATCCTTTCTCCTGTGTGGAACTAGTTGTACTTATGTTTATCAGCCAACTGGATTGGAAGCTGTACACTTGTATATTTACCCCCTTAAAATCAACATAGCTCCCAATAACCAGTCTCTCATTATACCTCTAACTGCAACTACCAAGCACAAATGAGCCATCCAACTCATACCCCTTTTGGTAGGGCTAGGAATAACTGCAGGAATAGCAATAGGAGTTAGCAGGCTTCCAACTTCCCTATCCTATTACCAATGCTCATCCAAGGATCTTCCAGACAGCTTGGAAGACACTGCCCAAAGTATTGTCACCTTACAAAATCAAACAGACTCCTTGGCAGCAGTCACTGTACAAAATAGAAGGAGACTGGATCTCCTAACTGCTCAAAAAGATGGCTTATGTCTTTTCCTATAAGAATGTTGTTTTTATATCAACCAATCAGGATTAGTAGGGATGCCACTCGAAAATTAGCTGACAGGACTTCTAAAATATAACAACAGCTGTCCACATCATAGGGCTCCTGGTCAAGGGCACCAAGCTGGGCTTCATGGCTCCTTCCCTTGGCCAGCCCATTGTTAATAATTATACTTGCATTGACTTTTTGGACCATGTTTGTTCATCTTTTTACCAGATTATTTCTTCTCACCTAGAGACGATTAAGCTTCAAATGATCATGCAGCAGGGCTTCCAGTTCCAGATGATGATGCCTGCCCTGGCCATCAAGAAGTCACCCTATCTCCACTAGACAGAGCAGTGCTAGAGTTCCATGGTCCCCAATAGGTAGGGACTGTGCCCCAATCAGCATGAAGTAGTTACAGAAGAAAGACTATTGGTCCCTCTGCCTCCCATAAAGATTTATGAAGATCACGTCTCTCAGGGGGAAATGAGGCAGAAGAACAGTCTATTTGAATAGTTTAGAATATAAATTCCAAGAGAAAAAGACAAGCAGATGTAACAGAGGAGAAGAAAGAAACACAGGGTCTGGACACAGGGAGCCTTCACTTCAGTCTCCGACTGGTCACAGGCCAGGCTGGTCTCAAACTTTTGACCTCAGATGATCTACCCACCTTGGCCTCCCAAAGTGCTGGGATTACAGGCGTGAGCCACTGGGCCCAGCCTCTTTCCCACTTTATGAACCCTATCACAACCCTTCTCTTCTCTGTCAGATTGCTTTCTTCTCCCATTTCACTCTCTCATGCATCTCAACCCCTTATTCCTATCTCACCTCACTCCCGCCTTCTCTTCCCTCCCCTTTCCTTCCCTTTCTTTCTTCTCTCCCTTGTTCTCTCCTTTCCCCTCCCTCCATCTTCTTCTCCCTCTGTCTGTCTTCCTGTGTTTCTTTCCTCTCCTTTGTTACATCTGCTTGTCTTTCTTGGAATTTATATTCTGAATATAAACTATTCAAATACATGGAAAAAACTCATGTTAGAATGAACTAAAAGGACACCACTGCTTCACATTTTAGAACTACTCTATAATAAATATCATGAAGAATTATTGAAATACTTACCCTGAAGCATTATATAAGTCTGCAAGCTGATATAGAATATCAATTTCTAGTGGTGTGACTTGTCCATAGCGTATGGCACTCTGGGCAAATTCCTCTGGAACAGAGAAAAAAAAAGTTAAAATCTTGAATGATTCTTAATATATAACAAAGTTCTACCTTCACCAACTATAATATAACCTGAAAGCTATAGGCATTTTAGTATCATTTTTAAAATCTAAAATTGAATTTAAATATTTAAGTTCAACTATACAAGAATATGCATTTCTGAAGGCTGGTAAAAGATAAAATGTTAAGATGATAAAACAGCAAAACAGATGAATTAACTTCAAGAATAAAACAATCTCTTTAGAATCTCCTCTTATCTTGCTTATTCACTTTGTTCTCCAGAGTTATAATACAAAAAAAGTGGGTGTTCTCCAGTCATTCAAAACATCCTAATACCACTCACCAAAAGGAGTAGGCTTGCTCATCTTTCTGTGGCAACTCCTTCCTAGTACAAACAAGCTGCTGCCACACTGCCACTGACCTGTTTGACAGATTGGGTCAAGGTTCTTTTCAAAACTGTCAAAGCCACTTTTCCATTCCTGACCTCAGTATCACATTAAATCCACCTGGATTTTTGGAGCCCAAGTAAAGCATACATACACATGGTAACATACTTTCTAGATCTGGCTTTAGAGTGGTAAGCTTAGATCAACATCATGCCTCAGTGAAGAAAAGTGAAAATGCTGAGATTCTTATTTATGTATATTTTAAAATCTTACCCTTTGTGACTTCAACATCTTTCCTTGTGCCAGCTAGAGTGCTATATATCTTACGAACAAGCTCCATGTTATTCAGTAACGAGTTAAATGCATTGAAGTAGGAGAAGCTAACCTGGTGTGAGATACTTCCTCCAGCTGCCTAGAAAATGACAACACAAAAAGTTTAAAAAACAAACAAAAACAAAAACACGTTTATGGACACTGTACTTTTCTCAAAGAGGATCCAAAGGAGTCTTCACTGTTAAAATGATGTTAACAACCAGTACATAAATACAAGGAAAGTATCACACTGAAACAGTGCACTGCATGCCCTCAGGGAAGTCTATGTAATTTAGGTTTTAAGGAAGAAAGTAACATCTGGAAGTTGGACTTCATGGTTCATCTACCTATAAGGTCAAAAACAACAAATATAATTATCACAGATCAAAACAATAGTTATTTAAACAGGATCTTCAAGACCCTCAACTGTGAAACTCTTGCTAGTCCTGGATAAACAAAATCACTGTACAATCTATGGAACACTTTTTAACCTTGTTTTTTTCCTTCACACACATACACAAAAACCAACTGATGACTTTAAATTTTAAGACAATTTTATTACATCAACTTTTCCTAATTTTTAAGGCCACTGTTATAATTAAAATACTTAACAGTCTGTGCTAAACTCTAAATTCGGATCATGAAGGGTACAATTATCAAAAACTCCAAAAAATGTAGAAAATCTGGAGAGAATTTATTCACTATTGAGTTATGTCTTCAATGGAATAGTGCAAAAGAGGCTCCCTCATGCCTGAGATGGCGGGCAACGTGGCCTTCATTACCTCTGCAGGATGAAGACGTAATTTGTTCTCTGCTCACCACTTGGACATAAACTCAAAAGAGAATATTTTGCATAGTTTGCAAAAGCCTCATTTCCAAGCCAGAAGTCAGAGGAACCCATATGATTGAAAACATTCTCCTTTAAAAATGCAAAGAAATGCTTATGTAAATATCAATGTAACAATTTTAATCATAAAGGTCTATTACAAATAGTGTAGGTAATGATGAGCAAATATATCCCACCCCACCACCCCTCACACACATGCCTTAACCTAAATACAGTTTATATTTGTGTTAGCCTGAATTTGGATACCAGCAACCCAAAAAGCTGGACTCAAATTTTCATATACTCCTCTGAGGATTAGAATTGACTTTTGGTAAACTATAAAAAATTGAGCCTCAAAAAATTGAGGCTATTATAGTAGGTCTATCTAACCTAGTTGGAAAAGATTAAATGAGTCCCTTCCCACTAAGGTACTGAGCCCCTCCCTCTAGGGTTCTCTTCCCTTCTCTCTCCTTCCCTCCCTTTCTCTCTTTCTCTCTCCCTTTATCCCTTTCTTTCCTTCCTTCTTTCATTTTTTTGGTTGGGGTATGAGGTGAGGGCAGGGGAGTGGGGGATGGTGTCAAGGAGGTGAAACGTGTAGGAGAAAGTGACATGGTCCATGTTCAGATTCACTGAAGAAAAAGAACAGAAGTTGATCTTTCTACCCCAGTCTAAATCAGGGATAATGATCTTCAGCTGAAACAACAAAGGCACTCATTGGCTTCCCTCCATTCAAAACAAGCAGTAATCAAAAACTTATACATAAGTACAACGCATAGACAAGAAAACGGGTAAGTGAGGAAAGTTTCACCACTCTATGTGAGGAAGTGGATGACATGAGTTTGCTATTGGTCCAGATGATTACTTTATAGAGATTAGCAGTTTGACAGAACAAAAAACTATGTCTGGTGCATACAGACTGAATGTACAGGTGAAGGGGCAGAGAGAGGAGTGAGCCACAGAGGCTGATGGCCACATATTTCCTCCATACCTTCTGCCATGGGCATGGTTATTAAAACACTGCAGAAGCCAGTGATGATCCCTCCGGCAGACAGCACCCTGAAGGCAACAAAGGAAGGAGCCATCTTTATAGCAAGACCTTGGGAGCCCGGTGGTGTGGAAAGAGGCCAAGATGAAGGCAGTAGTGTCTGGGAGAGTTACTGCCCACTGGAAAAAGTAATTGCTCACCCTTGTCTATAAACTCTTGTTTCCCTTGAACTGGACTCTGTAAATGGAAATAAACAATTTGGAAATAGATGACAGCAAGATGGTGGCTCTGAATAAAACTATGATCCGGGAAAAGATAACTCACCATCACCTCTACCTCCATTACACACACACATACATACATTCACGTACACACACACACATGCACACACACACACACACACACACAAACCTGTTTACTTTCTACCAACCAAGCATGAAATTTGAATAGTTGAGAGTCATATGAGTCCCTGGAGGCAATCCAGGACTCAATGGATCAAAAGGTTTGAGGAAATAGAAAGTTAAAGAACTTGCTTTTTACTTACTGAAACTAAGTTCTCCTCCACAAAAGGAGTAAGCATGTGAGATCTAATGGTAACCATGATGTCACTGAAATCCAGACCAGAAATCATGCCACTTTTGCTTTTGTCTTTGAGTGCAAAGGCTTGTCTTGCATGTTCCAATTGCAGCTCCTGTGAGGAAATTAGAAATAGGGCATTAAGCTGGTTAAACACATTCCAAGTACATGGTTTGGAAAGGAAGGAAGGACAGATATCCTTCCCACACATGTACTTACTACAAAACAAACAATGCACAGATCTGAATTTGCAACAAAACTTTTAATTTCTTTCAAAAAGCATGAGCTTTCTTAAAAATGTACTACATATTACTCCTCAGGAAAAAGAATGAATGAGAGCACATCAATAAAGGAAAGGTAGGAAAAAATAACCCTTAGATTTTACTTGACAAGTTTTCATTACTGAAAACAGAGAATAATGTTTTTGGTGCTTCATTTCAGCCTTTAAAATATACAGTAATTTATCTCTCCTGCTTGAAGGCTTACCTGTCATCAAAGAGTACTTCATGAATTAAGAGTTTAGATTCATTTTCAGTTTTTCAATTTTAAATGTTGCAATCAAAGTCTCTCTCTCTGTCATTCTATAAATGAATTAGAGACCATTTTTTCAAACAAATTTTTCAAATAAACTCAGTGAGAAACTCTACCAACTGGTAAGTGCAATATTCAGTCATTCTAAAATGAAAGTCAGGAATAACAAACTGCAAAAGTAGTGTTCAGCTATCACTGGCTCTGGGCACCGTTACTCATAAACTGTAAGACAGTCCAGAATATCTCTGAACTTTTGAACTATTGGGCAACCAAACTTTGTAATAAGTGATATCCACAAAAACAACAAAATGTTCCAGCAATCCCCTGTGTACTATACAAAAGTCAAAATCAGAGCATTTCTGTTGTGGGGATCCATGACTAAATGCAAAAAACCTGTTAGCAAACATAACAATGGTGCTGCTATTGGATGCCACCGTCACACTCTTTGCAACTCTGTAAATAATAGTCATATCTAAGTATATACATATTATTTAAAGATTACATAATTTTCATTCACATTTACTTATCAAAGACTACAAATTAATGTTGCTTTAACTTTTCATGACATTAAAAGTAGTTTTTATAGAAGTCTCATCATTTTTATTTAATTATATTTTCCTATGGACTTGTGATAACTCACTCCATTTTCCCATGACCTCAGCTCCAACCACTTCACCCTTCAAATGAAGTGGGAATTTTCAATCCATCTACATCATTACATGGATTTGAAATTGGTCCCCATGGCAAAGATATTCCTAAATAGCATCAAAAGTAGACACAGGTTCACTCCCTGTCTTATATCTTTTTCTTTCCTTCTACCTCTTTTCTATCTCTTTCTTATGTCTTTGTCTTCCCTATATGTCTTAATCACCCAGAAATATCAAATGGTAGCCATGGGTACAATTTAGCCTTATTAATAACACTCAGTACTAAAGAAGATGTGGACCTTTACCTTCAAGATGAAGCAGAATGCTCACTGAAGGAGTAGTGTTAGTAGAATAGATTGTCTGTTTTCTATAAGGTCAACAGTTAAAGGACTCTTATTTGTCTTTTAAAGATACGTATTTGAAGGATCACAGATGAAAAAATCATAGAGTATGTGCATCTGGCTTCCAAATGATCCTGCAGGAGGCAGGGTGGAGGGTATAGATAAAAAAGATTGGCCAAGAAGTGGTAATTATTGAAGCTGGTTATAGGTCCAGGAGGTTCATTACACTATTCTCTCTACTTTTGAGTATATTTGAAGTCTTCCAAAATAAAAAAGATTTTAAAAAATAAAATTAATGACTTAAAAATGAGAAGTTAAACACAGAAAAAAAGAAGTTACATATATGCGGCTCTCAGTTTATACAGTATAATTAAAACATCAGGGTACAATAGATATTGTAAAATAGACTCTGTAAATGCAAGGAAAACAGTGAGAGAAAGAGAGAAAGTAATCTTTGGAAGAATCTTAAACACTAATCAGGCAGACATTTCCTTTTTTAAAAAAGTCAGCTCTCAAATGCATATATTTTCAACTTTTCAAGTTTGAGAATTTTATAAGGTGAGTTAGATAAGCACTAACAGGGAAAAGAGTTAGAACAAACACTGGCACCTCCAAATACCCACACCTAAAGCCCATAGTTTCAAATCTGTGCTCATCCTAATGAAGAAAAACAATACTGTGGGCTTATAAAAGGTAAAATAAATAAATCTTGGGTTAAAAAGGTAGGTAGGTAGGTAGGTGGATAGGAGAACTAAAGGAAAGATAAAGAAAGGCAGTTATGCTGAAGGGAAAGATCCTATGCCCTTGAAAATGCATTTCATCTAATTATGAGATGAAAATTAGCAGAGCTTCAGAAACAGTGTGACTGGATGAGAGTGAACTTGTACATTTAACTCCACCGTCTTCCAAAATGCCACTCTCCACTAAAATAACAATAAAAGAACAAAACAAAACAAAACAGAAACGCAAGGACAAAGACAACAGAAAAGGAGAAGATGGCAACTATATTTTTAAGATCAGAAAGCAGAAAAGCAAATGACAACTGACTTAATGGACTCAAAAAAACTAAGCAGAAAAAGCCAAAAAGGAAGCCAATGTACATGACAGGACCCCCAAAAGATTCAATTATTAGCTGCATTGGTACCTCTGGAAGTGATGGTGAAGGTGGAGCTGAAAACAAGGGGCTTAGCTGGATATCTGTTTAAGAAGCAGTTAGTTACCCCTGCCTTACTCCAAATAAGGCCTCCACCCTTTCCCAACCTTGGCAGAAGACTAGAGGTCTACTGTCTGAGGAGTTTAACAGAGGATCTCTGAACCAGCATAGACCACACACAGTTGAGAGGGAGAATACTACAGTGAAAAAAGGTAGTAAACTGAAAGTCCTTCTGCAAAATTGAACACTGAGACCTCCAACTACTTATTACTCAGCAACCAAAACATCAAAAGCCAGATCTAATATTCCAGATTGGAGACTAGACAATTTTTCCCTGATTCCCTAATCCGAAATAAAAGACCTAGCCTAGGCAACATGGCAAAACCCCATCTCTACAAAAAATACAAAAAATTAGGCAGGCATGGTGGCACACGCCTGTAGTACCAGCTATTCAGGAGGCCGAGGTGAAAGGATCCCTGGAACCTGGGGAAGTCAAGGCTACAGTGAGCCATGATCCTGTCACTGCACTCCAGCCTGGGGGACAAGGTAAGACCCTGACTCAAAAAAAAAAGAGAAAAAGAAAAACAGAGACCCAAACAAAGAGTAAAAATAAATAAATAAATGTGGAGAAAGCAGACACTATGCAAGAAGAAAACTTTAAAAAAACAACAAAGAAACCTGTCTTCAATATCTTTGAAGAAGTGAAAGAAAAGAGTGCATCCATGAAACAAGAACAGTATGCTATTTTTTAAAAGGAATATTCAGAAAACCAAAAAGAGTTCCTGAAAATTAGAAATACAGCAGAAATAGAAAATAGAAGGCTCAGAAGGAAAATAGGAGAGAAAAGAAGACTAAAAGGTCATAAATGTAACATTTAATAGTCCTAGAAACTAAGAAAATAGAATAAGAAAAGTAATAAAATTTTCAAGAATTGAAGGACGTAAGTTTCCAGATTAGAAAAGCCCAATGAATGAAGAGCCCAGACCAATGAATAAAAATAAACTCACACCAAGGAATACCATCGTGAAATTTCATAAACACCAAAGAAAAGAAAAAATATTAAAACACTCCCGAGTCAGAGTGGAAAAAGTTTCAAGATTAAATTAAGAATGAGAATGGCACTGTGGCAACACTGGAAACTAGAAAACAAAAGAGCAATGCTTTCAAAATTATAAGGAAAATAAACTCCTACTAGAATTCAATAACCAGCCAAACTATCTTAGCATAATGGTGGAACAAGAGGGATTTGTTTGTTTGTTTGTTAGTTTGTTTTGAGATGGAGTCTCGCTCTGTCGCCCAGGCTGGAGTGCAGTGGCCTGTCCTTGGCTTACTGCAACTTCTGCCTCCCAGGCTCAAGAGATTCTCCTGCCTCAGCCTCCCAAGTAGCTGGGATTACAGGTGCCTGCCACCACACCTGGCTAATTTTTGCACTTTTAGTAGAGACAGGGTTTCACCATGTTGGCCAGGCTGATCTTGAACTCCTGACCTCAAGTGATCAGCCCGCCTTGGCCCCCCAAAGTGCTGGGATTACAGGCGTGAGCCAAAACACCCAGACTGTTTGTTTTTTGAGACAGGGCTCACTCGGTCACCCACGCTGGAGTGCAGTGGTGGGATCATGGTTTACTGCAGCTTCTACCTCCCTGGGCTCAAGTGATTCTCCCACCTCACCTCCTGAGTAGCTGGGACTATAGTCGTGTGCCACCACACCTGGCTAGTTTTTGTATTTTTTGTAAAGATGGCATTTTGCCATGTTGCCCAGGCTGGTCTCGAACTCCTGGACTCAAGTGATCTCCCCACCTTGGCCTCCCAAAGTGCTAGGATTACAGGTGTGAGCCACTGCCCTCAGCCGGAACAAGAGGTTTTTACATATGAAAAGTCTCAAAAAAATTTTATTCCACTTTCCTCAAGAAGCCATTGCAGGAAGTATTCTACCAAAAATAGGTAAACCGCAATAAAAGAAGAGATAAAATGCAGCAAACAGGAGGTTCAACGTAACAGAACAGCAAATGGATTCTCCAAGGTAAAAGTGAAGGGTGATCACAGAATGACTCCTATGCAGTGAGCTTACACAGTCTGGCTTCTGGCCCTGAAGCAGGTGAGGAAACAACAGGAAAATGGTGCAGCTGCTGTGGAAAACAGTCAGGTGGTTTCTCAAAAAGTTAAACAGAATTACCATATGACCCAGAAATTACACTCCTATGTATATAGCCAAAAGAACTGAAAACAGGTATTCAAACAAATATTTGTATACATATGTTCATAGCAGCACTATTCACAATAACCATAAGGTGGGAACAACTCAAAGGTCCATCAGCTGATGAATGGATAGACAAAATATAACATATTTATACTATATTATACAATGGAATAGTATTCAGCCACAAAAAAGGAATAAAGCACTGATACATGCTATGACATGGATAATTCTTAAAAACATTATGCTAAGTGGAAAAAAAAAAAAACAGATGCAAAAGTTCATATTGTTTGGCCAGGCGTGGTGGCTCACACCTATAATGCCAGCACTTTGGGATGCTGAGGTGGGTGGATCACCTGAGGTCAGGAGTTCGAGACTAGCCTGGCCAACATGGTGAAACCCTGTCTCTACTAAAAATACAAAAAATTAGCCAGGCATAGTGGCGCACACCTGTAATCCCAGCTACTCAGGAGGCTGAGGCAGGAGAATCGCTTGAATCCAGGAGGTGGAGGTTGCAGTGAGCTGAGATCACGCCATTGCACACCAGCCTGGATAACAAGAGCGAAATTCTGTCTCAAAAAAAAGAAAAGTTCATATTGTACAATTCCATTTATATTAAATATCCATAATAGGTAAATCCATAGAGACAGAAAGTAGGCTGGAAGTTGCCAGAGCTCAGGGGAAAGCAGAAATAGAAAGTGACTGCTTAATGGAACACGGTTTCTTTTTGGGATGATAAAAATGTTTTGGAACTAGATATAAGACACTGTGAACGTACTAAATGCCACTCAATTGTGCACTTTTATTTATTTTTAATTTTTTAGATGGAGTCTCGCTCTGTCACCCAGGCTGGAGTGCAGCGATGCAATCTCAGCTCACTGCAACCTCCACCTCCTGGGTTCAAGTGATTCTCCTGCCTCAGCCTCTCCAGTAGCTGGGATTATGGCACTCACCACCTCGCCTGGCTAATTTTTGTATTTTTAGTGGAGACAAGGTTTCGCCATGTTGGCCAGGCTGGTCTTAAAGTCCTGATCTCAAGTGATCTGCCCACCTCAGCCTCCCAAAGTGCTGGGATTACAGGCGTGAGCTACCACACCTGGCCTAAATTGTGCACTTTTAAATGATTAATTTTATGTAAATTTTACCTCAAATTTTTTTAAAAAAGAAAGCTCCTGGAGAGCTCCAAGAAGATGAAATTAATAGAATACCTAATGTGTTTTAAACGCATTAAAAAGAGATCTTAATAATTGGGCCAAGGTTTGAGAATGACTTAGTATTAGTACACAGAAAACTAAACAAATGAAAACTAGAAACTCTAAGAACAATAACTTTAGGCCAGGTGCAGTGGTTCACTCCTGTAATCCCAGCACTTTGGGTGGTCAAGGCAGGCAGATCACTTGAGGCCAGGAGTTCAGACCAGCCTGGCCAACATGGCAAAACCCCACCTCTACTAAGAATACAAAAATTAGCCAGGTGTGGTGGCACACTCCTGTAATCCCAGCTAGTTGAGTGGCTGAGACATGAGAATTGCTTGAACCAAGAGGTGGAGGTTACAGTGAGCCAGGATCACACCACTGCACTCCAGCCTGAGCAACAGAGCCAGACTCTGTCTCAAAAAAATATATAATAACTTCAGCCACCAATAGTATTTACAAAATTATAATAACTCATAGGATTACTGATCTAAGCAGAATCATGACATAATTATATTGGGGGAAAGGGGACAGAAGTCCAAGTCTGTGATAAAGAGGGAGAGGAGAGAGGTGAAAGAACTAGCTTTTTTTTTTTTTTTTTTGAGATGGAGTCTCACTCTGTCGCCAAGGCTGGAGTGCAGTGGTGTGATCCCAGCTCACTGCAAGCTCCGCCTCCCAGGTTCACACCATTCTCCTGCCTCAGCCTCCCAAGTAGCTAGGACTACAGGCGCCCGCCACCACACCCGGCTAATTTTAGTAGAGATGGGGTTTCACCATGTTAGCCAGGATGGTCTGGATCTCCTGACCTCGTGATCTGCCCGCCTCGGCCTCCCAAAGTGCTGGGATTACAGGCGTGAGCCACTGCGCCCAGTCGTGAAAGAACTAGCTTCTAATCTTCTATAGTTAGGATACAATTAAAAAGTATTTAAAAGTAGAAAAAAAGTAGAAGTGCTTTACTATTTAAATAAATGGAAGTAAACACTGAAAGAAACAGCTATTAAGAGTTTAAAGAAGTTGTCTCTGGCGAGGGGGAAATTTAAAAAATAGGAGTGAAATACCATGGAGAACTTCTATTTTTGTAATAAACTTAATAAATACAAAGCGAAGGACACAGAAGAATAGTATATATTGATACCTGTTATGAAAACTAAGCTCACCTGGAGAAACTGCGTGAATTCTGTGTAGTTAAGATGCTTCTTCCGGTTATGCCCAAAATGCAGTCGGATAAATTCACAATCCCAGTTAAAAGGGATATGATGATGAATAATAGTCTGTCCAAAAATTTCTTTGACATTTTCTTAAAAGGGAAAACAAAAATAAATCAATTATATCTGGAATAAGTAGTTTAAACCACTGCAATGTTCCTACAGAAAAAAATTAAGAGAAGTTTTAAAAGTCAATATCATCTGCTTCTATTAAAATAACTGCAATTTTTTTGTGTGCCCAGAAACCATGCGCAGGAACACAACTGATACAAAAAATATAATTTTACACTTAAGAATATGTACCATTGCATATAAGGCCATGAGATTCTTAATTTCTCTTTATTTAATTTTAATTAGAAAGTGATTTCTATCTTACATCATAAATGGCTGCTATTTTACATCCCGTATAAAATCAATAGTGTTTTCCCAGTTTCTCAAGGAGTCGAATTAAACCCTTTATCAGAAGCATGAATACCTAAATTACAGTATAATGCAATATTTGTCATACTAAGTATGGTTTGATTGAGGCTTGATTATTACATTCACACTAGCCTGAATATGTCTATTGAAGATAGGTATAAGAAAAACTATCAAAAGCATATCATTAGCTCAGCAGCAAGCACCTTATTAAAAGCTTCTGATATTGTTAAAAATATGGTCTTGACACAAAGCTTCAAAATCCCCATAAAATCCATGATTATTAGTCTGAACTATTAAAATATTTTAAGATAAGTTAAATTAGTGTTTCACTTTTAAATAAAGAGCTAAATACAGTACACTAATTTTTAGATAGGAACTAGTCACACTGTGTAACATACAACCAAAACCCTCTGGCAGCTTGTCTTCATGCACTAACAACGTTATTTACATTCTTACAGAGTTCTATACTTACTATAAAAGTCAATTCACAAATGACTGGTACTTTAACAAGCATAGACTGGATAAACTAATTTAGAAGCTCATGCCAAAAAAAAAAAATCATGAACAAAGTTAAGAAAGCAGGAAGCCTGTTTAACTGATGTCTTAAGAACAAAATTATTTTCAAATTTCAGCCAATTTTATTAGTGAAAGAGTTTTGCCATCGATAGCTATCAGTTATACTAGAGAATTAGTAAATACACATTTAAAGTTTTATAATCTCCAACTATGCTGTTTTCTCTAATTTCTGCAAATTCTTTAAATAAGATACTGATCTCATATTGTAAATGGTTTAATGGATTCCCTTTAGTTTTATATACATACACTTTTTCTTAATAAAAGCATTACTACTGGGATAGGGGAATGTAAGAATTCTGAACTGGACGTTCTACCAGTCTAGAGTCAATATAATAGCTCTGAATAGATTGCAGCAATCAGCAAAGTTGGAAGAAGGCATTGGATGTCACTGGGGAGATGGGATTCTCATCTTTTCTTTGAAATGGAATGCAGGATTCATTTCTTCCCTAAGTAGGGACAAATACTTCAAAGTTTTCAATAGGTCAAGCGTTTTCACCTTACATAAATACAAATTTAAAAAGCAAAGAATTAACCCAATAGCAATTTGTGGGATCCTGGTTTCTAACCAACACAAAAGATGATCCTTAAATCTATGTGAAACTTCGAAGTTGTAAAATATGTTAAAGTTTACAAAACAATTAAAATAATAAAGATAGCAGAAAATATTTAGGGCTACAAATATTGTAGCAGATTATTAAAGATTTTTAGGATCTAACTTAATTAATTAGCTGTTTCTAGTCCCAAATTAATTAATTTCTTACTTTTAAGGTCTAACAAAAAGAAGTGTTTCATCTTCAAGTTAAAAAAAATTAAAAATGGAAAGCAAATTAGAACAAATTACTATATTTAATTAAGTAACATTACAATTATTAAAGGGAATAGTTATTTCATGGTAACCTTTTAAAGGTTATTTCAAGAGTTAAAATATAATTATTTGATAATAAATGTATATATTACTACCTAGATAATTCTTATATAATGGTAGAATGAAATTGAATCCCTTTTATATAATAAGAAAATATCAGAATCTCAAATATGAAACTATGTAAAATAAAGTCCAAAATGCAAAAGCGTTCAAGCTAAGAAAATTCAATTATCTATAAAAATTTTTTTGGCTGGGCACAGTGGCTCACACCTGTAATCCTAGCACTTTGGGAGGCCAAGGCAGGCAGATCACGAGGTCAGGAGTCAGAGACCAACCTGGTCCCCATAGTGAAACTCCGTCTCTACTAAAAATACAAAAATAAGCCAGGCATGGTGGCACATGCCTGTAATCCCATCTACTCAGGAGGCTGAGGCAGGAGAATTGCTTGAACTCGGGAGGCGGAGGTTGCAGTGAGCCAAGATTGCGCCACTGCACTCCAGCCTGGGTGACAGAGCAAGGCTCTGTCTCGAAAAAAAAGTTTCTATTATCACAAAAAGGATATTTATGAACTAAATTTATAATGTATAATTTACATCTGGAAAATATCTCTGTAATAAAAACTTTAGATATCCTATTTCATAAACTTCTTAGCCATCTCTAAATAAGATCTTAGAATGTCTCTGAAACAATTAAAATGATGGTCTAAATTAGTCATAGTGATCTCCCCAAATACAGAAGTGTCATTTTCCATGAGTATTTGGACATTTTCTACTTCTCCCAAAGTGGTCACTTGACAGCTTTATATATGGTTTTGTTATGATCATTATTATATGCTGTGGTTTATTTACTCTGACACTTTTAGGGTTTTTTTAAGACACATCATGGACTACTATAATTACTAGAACTAATAAGATTACAAACCTACTTTGGCACTTCTGGAGATGTATTCTACTTCTCTTCTGTTATCATTGTTTCTACTACCAAGTGCCTGAGACTGATTCAGATACACAGAAATAATTAGTAGAACTATTGTTTTCAAGTCCAATTCATAAATTGCCACTTTACTTTTATCAGAATGTGATAAATAAAATTATATAAAAGCTCCAGAACTGGAGAGCTTATGCTTGTATGAGGTAATAACTCAAACAGCTGGTGTTTTTATGTTACCCAGCTTTATCAGGTCCTGCGTGACATGAAAGGGAACACCAATAGTCTCAAATATACCAAATACATCTAACTGAAACTGTATAGCAAGTTCCACCCACCCCCAGAGAGAATCCCATCTTTCCAGTGGCAAACAAGGATCTTTTTTTTGCCATGTTTAAGAATGCTATTTCTGTAGCATAGTTCTGGCCTGGAAGAAAGGGAAATGACAGTCACATCTTATTGGCAGCAAAATCACGATATAGTATTTTATACTAGGTTGGCATAGCTAAGAGAACCAGGAATCCATTAGTTTTCTGACATATAGAAAACAAAAGACAACTTTTTCACTTCCTGCAGAGCATGGGCTTATGAAAGGGATGGTTTATACTTCCATTGAAAAGGGAACTGGGGCTAAATACAAAAGTAGCCTGTCATTATGTTCTCTTTGCTCAAAGGAGAGGAGCACAATGATTTGTCAGGAGAGCAGGTAACGGTGACAACTGTGATTAAGTAAAAATGTTCACAGATGTGTAACATTAGTCAGTTTAGCTGTATCAGTCACTTATGATGATTGGACTAGATGAAATACACATTAAATCATATATATTATGTAAATATGTCTTAACAGAGGTTTTAATTTCCCCAGAAACCCATACTGTGTCTCCCCATCTCATCCACCCTCATCCCTCCCCTGGTTCTTATGGGCACTTCCTACTGGTCTTGTTCACCTTTCTGCAGTACAAAATTACCTCTGACCGGGGCTGGCACTCTTCTCCAAGACTGCCACCATGCCTGTTCCATGAATGAGCCTGGAAGGAGCTGCTGTACCAACGGTGTGGCCAGAGAACTCCTCCTGTAGGTATACAAGCCATCAGCCCTGTGACACAGCCCACCTACCATCAGCCCAACGACATCCTTATTCCAAGGATTCCAGCCCAGCAGGAGCCACTACAACCAACTTATAGGCTTGAGACCAAACATTCTTATTGTCAGGGGGAAAAGTTCCTCAGTAGCTGAATTTCACCTGCACAGTTCTTAAAGTGAAGTCAGAGAGGTTTTTAGGACTCCCACCATGAATGGTGAATATCCTTGTACATAGCTGAACAAAAACAATGGTGAGACTTGTAGAAGTGAAGAGTTTTTCAGTGAAGGAAAAATTGGGAGGAAAGAGGAGGAACAACTGGGAAGCCAAAAAAGAAAACAAAGGAAAACAAACAACAACAACAAAAAGACCAACAACAGGAACTTGTAGAGGAAGTCCCAACCAACATGGCATGTAGACTCAGTCCCAGACTTCTGGGTTCTCCTCTCAGATGGTCATTAGTTTCCTGAATGACCTCCTGTTTCTCTGAGAGAAAGTATTTCTATTAGCCCTTTACCTACCTCTAGAAGGGACTACTGCACAGTCAATAGAGTAGTCCTGCTGTCAAATATATGTAAAGGTCCATTTCTCAGGAAAGATGAGTTCATATTTAAAGACTATCGGTTGGGCGTGGTGGCTCACGCCTATAATCCCAGCACTTTGGGAGGCCAAGGCAGGTGGATCACCTGAGGTTAGAAGTTTGAGACCAGCCTGGCCAACATGGTAAAACCCTGTCTCTACTAAAAATAGAAAAAATTAGTTGGGCGTGGTGGCACATGCCTGTAGTCCAGCTACTAGGGAAGCTGAGGCAGAAGGATCACTAGAACCCAGGAGGTGGAGGTTGCAGTGAGCCGAGATCACACCACTGCACTCCACCCTGGGCGACACAGCAAGACCGTGTCTCAAAATTAATAAATAAATACATACATACATACATACATACTATTATTATTGAAGCTAGACACTTCAACAGTCTATCATCAAACAGCATAAAAACTAATAACACTCCACCTTTTCTTTCACCTTGAACTCTTAAGCTACTCTAATAGCCTTGAGTACTAAAAAAAAAAGCAAAAAACAAAAAACTTCTCTGCAATATCCGAAAGCAACACCAAGAAAAAAAAAAATCAAAAAATCTTCCTGATTTAATTTGAATACTCAGGTGAAGCTCTACTTCTTACCAAATTAAGCTATATATTTATTATCATAGAATTTTCATTTCTTTTTATGAAAGTCTTTGTCTGTCACGCAGGCTGAAGTCAGTGGTGTGATCTTTTTTTTTTTTTTTTTTTTGAGACGGAGTTTTGCTCTGTTGCCCAGGCTGGAGTGGTGCAGTGGCACAATCTCAGCTCACTGACCTCAGCCTCCCGGGTTCACGCCATTCGTGAGCCTCCCAAGTAGCTGGGACTACAGGCATCCGCCACCATGCCCAGCTAATTTTTTTGTATTTTTAGTAGAGACAGGGTTTCACCGTATTAGCCAGGATGGTCTCGATCTCCTGACCTCGTGATCCACCCGCCTCGGCCTCCCAAAGTGCTGAGATTACAGGCGTGAGCCACCGTGCCCGGCCCAGTGGCGTGATCTTGGCTCACTGCAACCTCTGCCTCCCAGGTTCAAGAGATTATCCCACCTCAGCCTCCCAAGTAGCTGGGATTACAGGTGCATACCACCATAACTGGCTAATTTTTTTGTATTTTTAGTAAAGACAGGGTTTCACCATGTTGCCCAGGCTGGTCTTGAACTCTTGGCCTCAAGTGATCCTCCTGCCTCGGCCTCCCAAAGTACTGGGATTATAGGCAAGAGCCACCATGCCTGGCCGCCATAGAATTCCCTTTTTTTGGGGGTGGGGGTATGGAGTCTTACTGTGTCACCCAGGCTGGAATGCAGTGGCATGATCTTGGCTCACTATAGCCTCTGCCTCCCAGATTCAAGCAATTCTCCTGCCTCAGCCTCCCAAGTAGCTGAGATTACAGGCACATGCCACCACGCCCGGCTAATTTTTGTATTTTTGCTAGAGACAGGGTTTCACCATGTTGGCCAGGCTGGTCTTTGTTTTTTTTTTTTTTTTTTTTTTTTTTGAGATGGAGTCTTGCTCTGTCGCCCAGGCTGCAGTGCAGTGGCCTGATCTTGGCTCACTGCAACCTCCACCTCCTGGGTTCAAGCAATTCTTCTGCCTCAGCCTCCCAAGTAGCTGGGATTACAGGCATGCACCACCATGCCCGGCTAATTTGTTTGTATTTTTAGTAGAGATGGGGTTTCACCATATTGGCCAGGCTGGTCCATATTGGCCAGGCTGGTCTCAAACTCCTGATCTTGTGATCCACCCGCCTCGGCCTCCCAAAGTGCTGGGATTACAGGCATGAGCCACTGCACCCGGCCCAGCCAGGCTGGTCTTGAACTCCTGACCTCAGGTGATCCTCCCGCCTCGGCCTCCCAAAGTGCTGGGATTACAGGCGTGAGCCACTGCACCTGGCCACCATAGAACTTCATATTATTGCATGTCTATAGCTTTGTTTCCAGTGAGAAAGGGTACATTTTTCATAACTACACTTCCATCTCCTGGCTCTTTAAAATAATAACAGTGGTTGTGCCTAACCCATCCCAATTTATTCTCTCCTTCAGGGAAAAACAGCCTATTTCAGAGGCACAAATGGAACACATTTTTATTTGCTATATGTATTAATGGTCAAACATAGTACTACATTTAAAGGAATCTCTGCTTTTTGAGGTTTCTTCAGTCAGAGGGTGAGGATGTGTCCTTGGAAAAGTTTACTTTGAAGAGTGTCCATTCCTAGGCAAACACCAAATTTGGAACACAATGTTGATGTTAATAGAGAACTCAGAACATATAACATGTTTCATACTCATTTTGTTAGTTAACAGACAACAGTTTGTTGTGGTTTTTTCTTGTTTGTTTTTTTTTTTGGAGACGGAGTTGCACTCTTTCACCCAGGCTGGAGTGCAGTGGCGCAATCTCAGCTCACTGCAACCTCCACCTTCTGGTTTCAAACTATTCTCCTGCCTCAGCCTCCCAAGTAACTGGGATTACAGGTGCCCACCACGCCCGGCTAATTTTTGTATTTTTAGTAGAGACAGGGTTTCACCCTGTTGGCCAGGCTGGTCTCAAACTCCTGACCTTGTGATCCTCCTGCCTTGGCCTCCCAAAGTGCTGGGATTACAGGCGTGAGCCACTGCGCCTGGCCCCTTAAAAAAAAAAAAAAAAAAGGATTAAATCTTTAGTAAGGCAATAGGCCTTTTTTTCATTTGAGACAGGGTTTCACTCCGGTTACCCAGGCTAGAGTGTAATGGCACAATCTCAACTCATTGCAACCTCCACCTCCCAGGCTCAAGTAATCCTCCTACCTCAGCCTCCCGAGTAGCTGGGACTACAGGCATGTGCCACCACACCCGGCTAATTTTTGTGTTTTTAGTAGAGATGGGGTTTCACCATGTCACCCGTGCTGGTCTTGAACTCCTGGGCTCAAGCAGTCTGCCCACCTCAGCCTCCCAAACTGCTGGGATTACAGACATGAGTCACTGCTCCCGGCCTTTTTTTCAATTTGGATTTTAAATGCATGGCAGCTACTGACAACACAATGTAGTATAACTGCTTATCTAGGTTACCTGAATCTAATAGTACTGAACAGGATCTCCAGTACACTTGTGGACAATGGTGAGACCAAGGCAAACTTACACTGTAGCTAGCACACACCAGTCATGCAATAGCCTCTACAAGGCTCATGCCACCTGACAGTAACAGATATACAAACCATTAAGTAATTATCCACGGCATGCATTAGAAGTTTTATTAAAGAAACATCAAAGAGGAAACAATTAACTAATATTTTATTCACTCTTAAAAAAACTCCAGAACCCTTTCCTGAGTTTTCACGTTCTGAAATGGATTTCCAAGGCCTCAATCTAAGTCCTCTCCCCAGAGCAGAGGTATCTTTAACAACAAAAAACCTTATATAAACACTCAAGTAAATGTTCAATATTACTACTTATATAAATACTTGCAAAGATGCACACAGTTTAAGTATATAATTTGATGTGTATAAAATCATATCTAAAAAAAGCATAAATGAGAATATATACAAGTACACAGATAACATTATCATCATAGTCTACAAGAGATGCTGATAGCATAACAGGTTTTCTCCACTTCCTTACACATTGCAGCTAATATTGTCTTCCAACTTTCTCTCATGTGCACAAGAGAAAACTATAAATAGCTCCAAACTAGAAAACAGAAGGCCATTTGGTGAAAAGGATTTAACTCTATTTAGAATGGATCTAAAATTTCCTTTTACCTAAACATGTGCCTATAAATACATAAGCACAATTCATTTTATTAAGTGGTTACAAACATGAAAACTGACCTTTACCCCAGATCCAAAATCCTATAAAAATAAACTCGAAGTTAATTACTTCCTTATGCATAAATTCTGTAGTCTTGAATATGGCTTGAAATAAGCAGTGCCTAGAAATCTTGTTAAATGGCATTTGCTACAACAGTTTCAATATTTTCCCTCTTAAAAATATGAAAGGAAACTTTCTTTTATCATTTCTCTCATTCTACTTAAGAAAATTTGTCTCAAAGTGGATCCTTAAAACTAGGAAGGCAGGGACAGAAGGTGAAATGGTCAAAGTCCTTAGGAAATAGGTGAGCACCATCAAAAGAGCCAACCAGCTAGCCAGGGAATCCAGAACAGAAACAGGGTACAGCTTTTAAAAAATGTTTTAAATTTTTTAGAGACTGGGTATCACTATGTTGTGCAAGCTGGCCTCAAACTCTGGGCTCAAGAGATCCTCCCATTTCAGCCTCCCGAGGAGCTGAAATCACTCCTTTGGGAGTTGAGACTACAGGTATGCGCCACTGCACCTGGCTTCATCTTTTTCTTATTCCATAATAATATTCCTGTCTCTAGATTATGGAGGAAAAGAATGAAAGCAAGATTCTTGAGGGCTCATATGTTCTTCAGTTTATACCTGGTACCGTAAAAACTAAAACTGGTTTGTGTTTAATCCTAACTATATTTCTAAAAATTCTAATTCATAAATCATAGTTTGAAAGAAAAACAGAAGACCTATAAAAAGCTAAAGTTGGCTGGGTGCAGTGGCTCACGCCTGTAATCTCAGCACTTTGGGAGGCCGAGGTGGGCAGATTACCTGAGGTCAGGAGTTTGAGACTGGCCAGCCTGACCAACATGGGCGAAGCCCCGTCTCTACTAAAAATACAAAAATTAGCGAGGCGTGGTGACAGGTGCCTGTAATCCCAGGTACTCGGGAAGCTGAAGCAGAAGAATCGCTTGAACCCAGGAGGCAGAGGTTGCAGTGAGCCAAGATCACGCCACTGCACTCCAGCCTGGGTGACAGAGTGAGGCTCCACCTCCAAAAAAAAAAAACTAAAGTTGAGATCTAATGACTACAAGCTTTCATTTACATTAAATAAGGCATATATAAACTTAGCTACTTCCTACACTCATTTTAATCTATTTATCAACAATGGCATGTGTCTTATTGTTAAGTTGGTCTTGACAGTCTGTTGGATGAAGTGGCTTGAGTTACTAATTTTATAATAATCGAAACTGGGAAAAGTAATTAAATGGAGGAGACACAAAGAACCATGATATCAAGGTAGAGGGACAAAAATTAGAATTTGATTGTGAGATCTAATTCTTAATGCACACAGGATATAAGCACAGGGCACTGTCACTAACTCAGACATCTGAATCCAGTTATTTTCCAAGCATTTCTGCATCACATTTGTGAGATATGTGAGCATGTGTGATACCTACTGAAAATAGAAAATGCAGCATTACTAGTAGTGCATGGTTAATGCTGAATGAGATGATGGAGGGTTTGTGCCTTAAACTACAGAATCTAGGTGTTTCTGAGGAAAGTCAACATTCTTCAGGAGGCAAGATGGTCGAAGCTTGCTCCAAAGGAGGAGGATGCCAAGATTTATATGCAAAAATCTAAATAACTCTGCATAGCAGGCCAGGCGCGGTGGCTCAGGCCTGTAATCCCAGCACTTTGGGAGGCCGAGACAGACGGATCATGAGGTCAACTGTTCGAGACCAGCCTGGCCAACATGGTAAAACCCCATCTCCACTAAGAATACAAAAATTAGCTGGGCATGGTGGCGCATGCCTGTAATCCCAGCTATTCGGGAGGCTGAGGCAGGAGAATCACTTGAACCCGGGAGGCAGGGGTTGCCGTGAGCCAAGATCACGCCATTACAATCCAGTCTGGGCGACAGAGCAAGACTCCGTCTCAAAAAAAAACAAAACAAAAAACTCTGCATAGCATTTTTTTGGAAAGTCTTCTCATACAGAAGATAGTTGAGTCAATGGGCAGAAGGAAGAAGAAAACAATCAATGTCACGCTAGAAAATGTGTCCACCAAAATTACAGCCAAGGCACTACTGATCCTTCTGATTGACTGACCTGTACTTTCTCACCACTTTGACCATTGCAGTGATAATTTTTCCTTCAAGTTTAACTAAAGGACATCTATTTTATAACTCAAACACAATAGTGAATAAGTGTTTAATGCCATAGCTCAGGGAAAGCCTGATTTTCAAGGGTGTTTCTACAAATATCCATGCCAATTCACACTATAAAAGGGGGCTTAAGTTTAATTTTGCAAGATGAGAAATTTCTGGAGATGTCTTTCACAACGTTGTGGATATACTTAATACTACTAAACTGTACATTTAAAATCATTAAGATAGTAGTAATTTTATCTTGTGTTTTTTGCCACAACAAAAACAGTGGCAATCTTTAAAAAGGTGGGGGCAGTGCTCAAGGTCCTTGAACTACTACATGGCTTTTATTGAAAAAATTGTTGCAAGAAAAATTAGCCAATACTTTTACTAAACATATACTAATTTCTGTAAAAAAGTATCTTTAATATATGGTTACAAATAAAAATCCTAGTGTATACACCTGTGAAACATCAACAGTGTGTTAGATTTTGTGTCTACTAGAGGATTTAAATAAATTTCTACATTCATGTCAGATGGCAATTTTAATATTCTAGCCTCTTTCCTAAAACTGAAATCTAAAATTCAGGTTCAGAGAACACTAATTTTGCCTTGATATCCTCCTTCGGTTCCATTCTTGGTGTTACAATGACATAGTAGCAATTTTCCAAGGATGCTACAAGAGAAGCTCTGAACTCCCTATCTAAAAATCACTTAAAGAATGAGAAAATTGTTTCATGTTGTTCAAAATCGACCTTGTAAGGAATTTTGCCCAGGCTGGCCCAGAACAAGAAAATCTTACACCATTTATTTTAGGAATGTAAAGTGTCAGTGACTCAATGAGCTAAAGCAACAGCATTACTACACTTCTTCATCTTTGGCAACAGTTTAATGCTTTGAAAAAATAAAGCCATCATTATCTGCATAAATCCTTTTAGGAAATTCAATTATGGGTCAGATCCCAAATAAGCAGTAATCTATATTAGTTACTAGATTCAGCAATTGAAGACTGGACCAGCATCATTAACTTATCACTTATAATCTTCTTTTTCCCTTACCAAATGTCACCTCTCCATTTCCACTCTTGTCAAACAACTGGAAAGCCACTATGAACATGGAATCTGGAGCACATAAAACAGATTCAAATGCCAAAAACTCTTGATAGGAGATCAACCTGGAATAAAATATAAAACGTCATTGGCTGGTGAAGAAAGGGAAAGCATCAGGCATTTAATCTGCCTTTACTATATAAACTGTAGCTCAGGGTAACCAAATAATTGATAAAGGGTAGTTTGTTTTTATAGAGGTACTTCAGATAAGGAAGGAAAGGAGAATTAGAATATCACCCTTTTGTAAGCCCCTAGAAAATCAATGAAACTGGGCAATAATCAATAGCTCCTAACATCATGAAGAGAGAGAACCAGGCAAAATATAATTAAACCTGAATCTGATCAAGTCTCTGGATCAGTTTCTCAACCTCAGTACTGGTGACATTTTAAGTTGGATAATTCTTTGTTGTGGGGGTTTCCTGTGCTTTGTAGCATGTTTAGCAGCATCCCTGGCCTCTACCCACTAGATGCCAATAGCATCCCCAAGTTGTGACCAGCAAAAATGTCTCCAGACATTGCCAAATATACCCTGGTGAGCAAAATCACCCCTATTGAGAACCACTGCTCTAGAACTATTCACTAATTTACAGAAAACACAACAAACAAAGGAACATGTTCACTACCACCACATAAATGCAGACTGTAGGAAATGACAGAAGAAACATTCCATAGCTGCAGAAAAATAATTTTTAATGAAGCTATGAAGAGGATTCTTCTTTTTTTTAAGGGGCCATGCTAATCTCTGTATCATTCCAATTTTATTATATGTGCTGCTGAGGCAAGCACAGGGAATCTCAATCTTAAAAGACCTAAGAGATATAACAATGAATCACAATATACATCCTTATTTGGATTCCAATTTAAACAAAGTAAAAAAAAAAAGTTTTTTAATTTACAAGATAATCCGGGAAATGGAAATACCAATATAATACAAATGCTTGATGATATTAAGAAATCAATGTTTCTAGGAGGTTTTTTTGGTTGTTGTTAAGCATTATCTTTTAGAGATACACAGTGAGACACTTACAAATGAAATACATCATCTAGAGTTTGCTTCAAAATAATCCAGAGGATGGAGAAGAGATGGAGGTATAAACGAAATAATTATTTTGGTAATGATTAAAAGTAGGTGATGAATTCATAGAATTTACATTATTCTCTGTGTTATACATGTTTGAAACATCACTAATAAAAATTTTGGCCAGGCACAGTGGCTCACATCTGTAATCCCAGCACTTTGGGAGGCTGAGGCAGGAGGATTGCTTGAGTCCAGGAGTTTAAGACCAACCTGGGCAACATAGGGAGACTCCACCTCTACAAAAAGTAAAAATAAAAAATTAGCTGGGCATGGTGGCACACACCTGTAATCCCAACAACTCAGGAGGCTGAGGTGGGAGGATTGCTTGAGCCCAGGAAGTAGAGGCTGTAATAAGCCATGATCATGCTACCGCACTCCAGCCTGGGCGACAGACCAGACTCTGTCTCAATAAATAATTAAATTAAAATAAAACTTTTAGAGGCAGGGCACAGTAGCTCACGCCTGTAATGCCAGCACTTTGGGAGGCTGAGGCAGGCAGATCACTTGAGCTCAGGAGTTCAAGAGCAGCTTAGGCAATATGGTGAAACCCCATCTCTACAAAAAATACAAAAATTAGCCAGGTGTGGTGGTGTGCACCTGTAGTACCAACTACTTGGGAGGCTGAAGTGGGAGGACAGTTTAAGCCCAGGAGGCAGAGGTTGCAGTGAGCCAAGATTGTGCCACTGTACTCCAGCCTGGGTAACAGAGCCAGACCCTGTTTAAAAAAAAATTTTTTTTAAATAAAAATGTTAAAAGGAAAAATCAAAACAAAAAAGGTGGGAGCCAGGTGCAATGTCATGAACCTGTAGTCCCAGCTACTCAAAAGGATGAGGCATGAGGATCACTTGAGCCCAGGAGTTCAAGGCTGTAGTATGCAATGCTGGTGCCTGTGAATAGCCACTGCACTCCAGCCTGGGTAACAGAGTGAGACCCAAGTGAGACCCATTTCAAAACAAAACAAAACAAAACTTAACAAAAAGTGGGGGAAACTCATATGTTGGGTTTCTAGAACTTAATGAGTCCTATTATACTCAAGGTTATAAAATTAACCAGTGGTCAAAACTACACAGAAATTGCCTTCAGTGACCTTACAAAGCCAGCATATACTAGATCTTTCATAGCAAGCTTGCTACAAAGATTCCATACCATCTTGCTGCTCATTAGTAATGAGTGTCCAAGTAACAGCATTATAAAAATGTGTCTCATATGCATACAGATCTGCAGACTGGTCTTCAATGAAGTATTTTCCTAGGAAACTAATCTTTCCTTGATTGTCCAATGTTA
This sequence comes from Homo sapiens, assembly GCF_000001405.40. Lineage (NCBI taxonomy): Eukaryota > Metazoa > Chordata > Mammalia > Primates > Hominidae > Homo > Homo sapiens. Next base: position 288,420 of record NW_025791761.1, read on the forward strand.
ATTACTCTATATATTTCAAAATGTGTTAATTGATACAAGGATTTTCTATAGTGTATTTTTCATGCAATTTCTGTTTGAGGAAGAAAAAAACAGACTGACCAATAATTTTAAAAATAAAAATAGGCTGATTATGGGTTTTCTTTAAAAAGGCATAACATATTGGTTTCTACAAAATAGCATCAAGACATAAAAAATACACCTACCCTGAAATACAGAATACGTAGCTTTAAAACAAATTTCATGCTCAGTAGTAAAACCTTCTATATTTATGAGAAGAGGCCAAAAACTTCTTCCTTAACTAGCAAAGGTCACAAACTATCAGCTGGCAGACTGAATTTGGTCCAAAGATGTGTTTTCTTTGGCATGCAAAGTACTGTTTTTTAGTTGCATTAGTTGACATTAAGAAATCACAAGATTTCCCATAAATACTCAGTTTTTCTGGTTTATTTTGATAAACTGCAAGTGTGAACAACACTAGGTTTCCGGTCCCAAGTAGCACCAGCCCCTTGAAGACAAGCAGTCTTTCTCCTTCAGAAAAGCAACCAAACAGGGCTCATCAGTTATCTATCTACAGACCACACTGTCCTTGTGGATTTGAGACTCTTGTCACATAGGTTTCCAATTAAGTAGCCCTTTGTTTAAAACAGAAAGTCTATGGAATTTACTAAATATCTACATTTTGTCTGTCAGCATATTCAAAAAGACAAATCATATATTCATGCAACTTTGGAGCCAGAAGGACCCTTAGAAAGGCAAACGTTAAGTGATCTTCCTCAAAGACATTCAGCAAATCAGTGAGTCTACTTAAAGACTCCTAACTCCTGCCTTCAATTTGGTGTTCTTCCATTACTGTATATCTCCTAACCCTTTCCCAATTTTAAAGCTATAGTTGAAAACCAGAAAGAGTATCTGGCATTAGTAAGTAGACCACTATTATAAGAAGCTATTGGGGTAATACTCAGCCATCCCTCAATACTCAGTTACCTTCAGATATATTCAGATATATCACGAGATATATATTCAGATGTATCATGAAAATACACAAAAGCACCAACAACTTAAAAATTAGTCAAAAATCAGCCTGTTATGGTGACACATGCCTGTAGTCCTAGCTACTCAGGAGGCCAGGGCAAGAGGATCGCTTGAGCCCACAAGTTCGAGGCTGCAATGAGCTGTGATTGTGCCACTGCATTTCAGCCTGGGTGACAGAGTGAGACTCTATCTCTAAAAAATAAATCAACTGAGTACATTATTCAGCCTTAAAAAGGAATGAAATTCTGACATATGCTGTAATATAGATGTGCCTTGAAAACATTATGCTAAATGAAATAAGGCAGACACAAAAGGACAAATATTATATTGTTCCACCTATGTGAGATAGCTAAAATAGTAGCAATAAGTGGAGTACTGGTTATCAGGGGCTGGTTGGAGTGGAAGGAAAGAGAATGGGGAGTCATTATGTAATTGGTATGGGGTTTCAGTATGGAATGATAAAAACGTTCTGCAAATGGATACAACAATTTTTTTTTTTTGAGACGGAGTTTTGCTCTTGTTGCCCCAGCTGGAGTGCAATGGCATGATCTCGGCCCACTGCAACCTCCGCCTCCACCTCCTGGATTCAAGCAATTCTCCTGCTTCAGCCTCCTGAGTAGCTGGGATTACAGGTGCGTGCCACCACACCAGGCTAATTTTTGTATTTTTAGTAAAAACGGGGTTCCACCATGTTAGCCATGGCTGATTTTGAACTCCTAACCTCAGGTGATCCGCCCACCTAGGCCTCCCAAAGTGCTCGGATTACAGCCATGAGCCACTGCGCCTGGCCTTGGATATGATAATGGTTGCCTAACAATGTGAATGCACTTAAAGCCACTGAACTGTCCACTTAAAAATGATTAAAATGGTAAATGTTATATTATGTATATTTTAACACAATAAAAAAAGTCACTTGAGGTTACCTAGGTGCATACATTTGTCAAAGCTCAGCAAATACACTTTTGAGATTTACATTTTCTTACTATGTGCGAGTCCTACATTTAAAGAAAAACACTCAAAGGCTGGGCATGGTCACTCACACCTGTAATCCCAGCACTTCGGGAGGCTGAGGCGGGTGGATCACTTGAGGTCAGTGGATCACTTGAGGTCAGGAGTTTGAGACCAGCCTGGCCAACATGGTGAAACCCCATCTCTACTAAAAATACAAAAAAAATTAGCCTGGCATAGTGGCACATGCCTGTAATCCCAGCTATTTGGGTGGCTGAAGTATGAGAATTGCTTGAACCCGCGAGGTAGAGGTTGCAGTGAGCCGAGATCGGGCCACTGCACTCCAGCCTGAGTAACAGAGACACACTCTGTCTCACAACAAACAACAACAACAAAAAACCCTCAAAACAAAAAACACTAGTAAATAATGGGCATGCTAAAATATTTAAGAACTATATCAATGGCTGCACTTTACTCTGAAATGTATTAAAAAAAAGATGGATTGATGGAAGGATAGAGGGATGGATGGATATATGAAAAAGCAAGAATAGTCAGATGTTAATAGTAGAATCTGGCCAGGTACAGTGGCTCACACCTGTAATCCCAGCACTTGGGAAGGCCAAAGGGGGAGGATTGCTTAAGCCCAAAAGTTCAAGACCAGCCTAAGCAACATAGAAAGACCCTATCTCTACAAAAAATACCAAAATAAATAAAAATTAGCTGTGCATGAGGCAGGCGCCTGTGGTCCCAACTATTTGGGAGGCTGACGTAGGGAGGATCATTTGAGCTCAGGAAGTCGAGGCTGCAGTAAGCCATGATCACACCACTGCATTCCAGCCTGGGCAACAGAGTGGGACCCTGTCTCAAAAATAATAATAATAAAAATAAAAATAAATAATAAAATAATAATAATAATATAATCTCTGTGGTAGTCTAGGTGGTAGATATATGGGTGTTCACTATAAAATTCTTTCAACTTTCTTGAATGTTTGAAAATTTTCATAATAAAATGTTGGGAGGAATGAGAGAAAAATAGGCCACTTGACAGTCTCTCTGATACTCTCCTCTATTTTAAGCCCACAGTCATTATATACTTACTGCATTATAATGCAACAATATTTTTCTGAAAGCAAGAAATAGTCTGCAATGCTAACATAAAGCAAGCATGTTCCAGAATTTTATTTATTTATTTATTTTAAGAAACAAGGTCTCAATCTGTCTCCCAGCTGGAGAGCAATGGTGCAATCAGAGCTCACTGTAACCTAGAACTCCTGGGTTCAAGTGATCCTCCTGTCTCAGCCTCCTGAGTAGCTGGGACTACAGACAAGCACCAGGATGCTCGGTTAATTTTTAAATGTTTTTGTATAGACGGGGTTTTGCTATGTTACCCCGGTTGGTTTTGAACTCCTAGCCTCAGGAGATCCTCCTGCCTTGGCCTCCCAAAGTGCTGGGATCATAGGTGTGAACCACCATGCCTGGCTCCAGAATATTTTTAAGGCTCCTTTTCCCTTTATCCTGCCATGGATTCCTTTATTGCTAGAAGGGCCCAATCAAGACTTTAATAGAATATATGCAAACCACAAGCTACTAACTGTTGAGTGAAGAAACTACTGATTAGTTCACACTCTATTAGTTTTCCTTGTAATGGGGATAAGGAGGTACTTTCACTCTTTACCGTATTACCCCATTGTCTGACTTTTTAGAAAGAACATGTATTCATTTTATAACTTTGAAAAATATATTTTCTGAATTTGGTGTGTTTTTTAAAAATTTTCTACGAAGCCCCTTTTTAATTTAGTAAATAGGAACTAATAAAATGACAAAATATTAATGTTAATTTTATAATTTGTAAAACAATCAAGATTTCTGCATAAAAGGTTCCTCTATATGCCTGTGTAACATAAAGGAAAACACTTGGGGAAAAAGTAGAAGAAAAGAACACCAGTTTTCTACATCACAGGAGAACAGAACCTCCAGATAAAATTCTGACTAGGACTGAATATAGAAACTATGGTTCTAGAAGTTACAATTTCAAGTAAGCAACAGTCTAAATATTTTAGATTAGATCACACAATTATAGTCTCTGAGATCTGCATTAAATGCATAAAATCATTTTGCTTTTCATTATACACCAGAACTTCAAAGTTTAAGCCACAATCCCACAAATAATACTTGGCTAATGGCTTTTACTTTTAGACAACTGATTGTGCTATTTATAATATATAATGCTGTTTTGTATGTTACATGGCTTTCTACAGCAAGCACCCATATCCAAACACTCCTACTTATTTTACTATCTACTGGGGGAAAGGAGATGGGGAACAAGAGAGAGGAACAGTTAACATCCCGGAAAACATGGGGGAAGGATTGCAGAGCACAAAAGAGCGTGTTTCAACCACTCCTAGACCAATTTTTCTCACACACTTAACCAAATCACTTGAACTTGTCTATACTAGCTCCACTCATTCAGACTTGGTCTTGAGTGGTTATAAGCAATATTATATGTTGCTATTTCACATAACATATCTATAGGACTCATCATCAGAAAACTATGATAGAACCAAGGAACACATTTTGGGGCAGGAAACAACGTACCAAGTAAGCTATTCTAATATTTCATCACTGCCCTGGGTTAAGGGGTAGAAAATAGAGGGAGAAAAGAGAATATCTTTTTTCTTTTTCGTTAAGACAGAATCTCACATTTTGCCCCTCAGGCTGGAGTGCAGTGGCTCAGTTATAGCTCACTGCAGCCACAAACACTTGGGCTCAAACAATCCTCCTGCCTCACTCTCCCAAGTAGCTAAGGCTATAGGCACACACCATCACAACTGGCTAATTTTTTTCTTTAATTGTGTAGAGATGGGGTTTCACCATGTTGTCCAAGCTGGTCTCAAACTCCTGGCCTCAAGCGATCCTCCCGCCTCAGCCTCCCAAAGTGCTGAGATTACAGGTGTGAGCCACTGTGCCCAGTAGAGAATATCTTTTTAAAAAGATGATTATAAGAAGAAAAATGGGCCAGGTGCGGTGGCTTATGCCTGCAATCCCAGCTCTTTGGGAGACCGAGGCGGGCAGATCACAAGGTCAGGAGTTCGAGACAACAAGCCTGGCCAAATGGTGAAACCTCATCTCTACTAAAAACACAAAAATTAGCCAAGCATGGTGGCATGCACCTATAATCCTAGCTACTTGGGAGGCTGAGGCAGGAGAATCACTTGAACCCGGAAGGCAGTGGTTGCAGTGAGCTGAGATCACACCACTGCACTCCAGCCTGGGTGTCAGAGTGAGACTCCGTCTCCGACAAAAAAAAAAAAAAGAAAAGAAAATGTCCTACTTTAACAATGCAACTCAGCCTAGGAGAACCACATGAAGCTTCAAAGAAGATACACTACTGAGATAGAATAGAGCAGATGGTCATAAAAGGAAACATTTGAAAATATATGGATATTCTGAAATCAGGTCTTAGACCAAATTACTAACAATAAATACTCTGATAATTTCTAAAAGAGCTAAATATATATGTTACCTTTAATAATTCTGATGAAGGACTTATGATAGGTATAATTAATTTTCATTTGCTTTATTGTCTAATCATTATTGAAAGATCCTATGAGTGAATGATCCACAGTGATTTATCAGTTGATATATTTTGAGAGAGTAGACCTAAAAGGTATACAAGTTTCCCAATACCTGCCATTTATAAATGATATAAAATCTTTCCAAAACAAATATTTGTTGAACACATAGTAAATTTCACACACTGTGCAAGGTTCTATGGGACAATAAAACTGAATACAGTACTAATCCTGGACTCAAAGAACTTAGACACCAATCTTTCTACTTTATTACAATAGCTACCTAAATTGATTCTATTGCATGCGAGTCTTGTCCCATTCCAACCCACCATTTCTAAAATCTGTTTACATCTGTGGTAATGGAAATAATTTTTAGACTACTTACTGCCTAGTTTCTCAAAGTTTGTCACACAAGCACCTCAACAGGTAGGAGAAAGAGCCTAGGCCCTGGAGGCTTGGAGATGTAGACTGAAACTGCCATAACAAGCCAAAATTGTCTTTATCTAATTCATGCAACTATTACATTCACTCCATAATACAGCCATATATGATTTTAATACAAATAATGATTGCTTTTCTCCCCTGAGTTGAGTAAACTGACACTCTAGCAAGATGCCCCTTGTTATTTCTGTCTTTTCACACACCCATACACTACCAGGCTAAAAATACCTGCAAGACAGAGTCAAAAGCCTTCAGCCACTCCAACTACATCTCCCCCAGCAACAAAGCAATGCCACAGCCACATCAAAGTACTTGCAACACAACCCTCCTCCATTGCCATTCACTAATGTGAGCACATGCGCACGCACACACACGCCCCTTAATGTTTCATGCCGTTCCTGTTCCCTTTCCTGGAATTCTCGTCCCTACTTATCCAACTACTAACAAGCTTGTACTCATCCTGCCAGATTTCACTCAAGCATTACCTCTTCTGTGATGCTGTCCTGACCACCCAAAACAGTTAACCATGCTTTCTTGGGTTCCCTCTATTCCTCTCATATAGCTATGACAGCACCTCATTTCAGAAGTGTTACTTTTTTCCTTTGTTTAGTCATTTTCTTTCTCACTAAGCTATTACCTTCTTTTGAAGGCCAAAAGCCTCATTTAATTTATGTTTGTATTTGTAAGGCCCAACAGTGCCTGACAAACAATGGCTGTTCAATTAATGTTTGCCAAATAAATAGAGAAATAAATTAATAAATATCACTCCCTAAACTCTCCCCTAATTTATTTTTCATCATAGTACTTACAGCTTTCTAACATACCATAATTCACTTTTTTATTATCTTTTTGTGGCTTTTTCACTGATATATTAATAATTCCAGCACCAAGAACAGTACCTGAGGCATAGCAGGCACTCAATACCTATTGAATGAATGGAAGAAATATACTTGGTTATTTGGAACTCGTTCTGCTCAGATTATTCAACATAAAATGAGGCTTTTCCCGTGAAATATTTTTTCGAAAAAAAGAAATGCCTGTATCCTTGATAATAGCAGTAAATAACACCATTTTTATAAACTTTGAATAAAATATATAGTTTAATTATACAACTAGTATATACCAATTTTTAAAGGCTGGGCATGGTAGCTCACACCTCTAATCCCAGCAGTTTGGGAGGCCGAGGCAGGCAGATCACTTGAGGTCAGGAGTTCGAGATCAGCCTGGCCAACATGGTGAAACCCTGTCTCTCCTAAAAATACAAAAATCAGCCAGGTGTGGTGGCACATATCTGTAATCCCAGCTACTTGGGAGACTGAGGCAGGAGAATCACTTGAACCCAGGAGGTGGAGGTTGCAGTGAGCTGAGATCATGCCACTGTACTCCAGCCTGGCCAACAGAGCAAGGCTCCATCTCAAAAAATATATATATTATATACATATATATAAAATATTTTTTTAATGTAGACCAAAACAAAACAAAACATGGATCTCCAGTTAGTGTGGTTTAAAAATTATTGGCTCAGAATTTGACCTATAAAGTGGAATACTTGCCTGGCATCCTCATATTTTTCAACATAAAGCTTCAATTATTTTTCCAAAAAAAAATTTTTTTTTAATTGATCATTCTTGGGTGTTTCTCGCAGAGGGGGATTTGGCAGGGTCATAGGACAATAGTGGAGGGAAGGTCAGCAGATAAACAAGTGAACAAAGGTCTCTGGTTTTCCTAGGCAGAGGACCCTGCGGCCTTCCGCAGTGTTTGTGTCCCTGGGTACTTGAGATTAGGGAGTGGTGATGACTCTTAACGAGCATGCTGCCTTCAAGCATCTGTTTAACAAAGCACATCTTGCACCGCCCTTAATCCATTTAACCCTGAGTGGACACAGCACATGTTTCAGAGAGCACAGGGTTGGGGGTAAGGTCACAGATCAACAGGATAAGAATTTTTCTTAGTACAGAACAAAATGAAAAGTCTCCCATGTCTACCTCTTTCTACACAGACACGGCAACCATCCGATTTCTCAATCTTTTCCCCACCTTTCCCCCCTTTCTATTCCACAAAACCGCCATTGTCATCATGGCCCGTTCTCAATGAGCTGTTGGGTACACCTCCCAGACGGGGTGGTGGCCGGGCAGAGGGGCTCCTCACTTCCCAGTAGGGGCGGCCGGGCAGAGGCGCCCCTCACCTCCCGGACGGGGCGGCTGGCCGGGCAGGGGGCTGACCCCCCACCTCCCTCCCGGACGGGGTGGCTGGCCGGGCAGAGGGGCTCCTCACTTCCCAGTAGGGGCGGCCGGGCAGAGGCGCCCCTCACCTCCCGAACCGGGCGGCTGGCCGGGCGGGGGGCTGACCCCCCCACCTCCCTCCCGGACGGGGCGGCTGGCCGGGCGGGGGGCTGACCCCCCCACCTCCCTCCCGGACGGGGCGGCTGGCCGGGCGGGGGGCTGACCCCCCCACCTCCCTCCCGGACGGGGCGGCTGGCCGGGCGGGGGGCTGACCCCCCTACCTCCCTCCCGGAAGGGGCGGCTGGCCGGGGGGGGGGGGCTGACCCCCCCACCTCCCTCCCGGACGTTGGGGGCTGGCCGGGCGGGGGGCTGACCCCCCCACCTCCCTCCCGGACGGGGCGGCTGGCCGGGCCGGGGGCTGACCCCCCCACCTCCCTCCCAGACGGGGCGGCTCGCCGGGCGGGGGGCTGACCCCCCCACCTCCCTCCTGGACGGGGCGGCTGGCCGGCCAGAGGGGCTCCTCACTTCCCAGTAGGGGCGGCCGGGCAGAGGCGCCCCTCACCTCCCGGACGGGGCGGCTGGCTGGGCGGGGGGCTGACCCCCCCACCTCCCTCCCGAACGGGGCGGCTGGCTGTGCAGAGGGGCTCCTCACTTCCCAGTAGGGGCAGCCGGGCAGAGGCGCCCCTCACCTCCCGGATGGGGCGGCTGGCCGGGTGGGGGGCTGACCCCCCCCACCTCCCTCCCGGACGGGGCGGCTGGCCTGGCGGGGGCTGACCCCCACCTCCCTCCCGGACGGGGTGGCTGCCGGGCGGAGACGCTCCTCACTTCCCAGACGGGGCGGCTGCCGGGCGGAGGGGCTCCTCACTTCTCAGACGGGGCAGTTGCCAGGCGGAGGGTCTCCTCACTTCTCTGATGGGGCGGCCGGGCAGAGACGCTCCTCACCTCCCAGACGGGGTCGCGGCTGGGCAGAGGCGCTCCTCACATCCCAGACGGGGCGGTGGGGCAGAGGCGCTCCCCACATCTCAGACGATGGGCGGCCGGGCAGAGACGCTCCTCACTTCCTAGATGGGATGGCGGCCGGGCAGAGACGCTCCTCACTTTCCAGACTGGGCAGCCAGGCAGAGGGGCTCCTCACGTCCCAGACGATGGGCGGCCAGGCAGAGACGCTCCTCACTTCCCAGACGGGGTGGCGGCCGGGCAGAGGCTGCAATCTCGGCACTTTGGGAGGCCAAGGCAGGCGGCTGGGAGGTGGAGGTTGTAGCGAGCCGAGATCACGCCACTGCACTCCAGCCTGGGCACCATTGAGCACTGAGTGAACCAGACTCGGTCTGCAATCCCAGCACCTCGGGAGGCCGAGGCTGGCGGATCACTCGCGGTTAGGAGCTGGAGACCAGCCCGGCCAACACAGCGAAACCCCGTCTCCACCAAAAAAATACGAAAACCAGTCAGGTGTGGCGGCGTGCGCCTGCAATCGCAGGCTGAGGCAGGAGAATCAGGCAGGGAGGTTGCAGTGAGCCGAGATGGCAGCAGTACAGTCCAGCTTTGGCTCGGCATCAGAGGGAGACCATGGAAAGAGAGGGAGAGGGAGACCGTGGGGAGAGGGAGAGGGAGAGGGAGAGCGCCTAATCTCTTTTTTAAGACCATTACACTAACCCGTAAGTCACAGAGCTACCCTACAAGATGCTTTAAATATAGGATGCCAGTATTTATTGCCTTAGCTCTTTGCAGCTCCTCTGTTTTTTAACATTGGATTAATATTGATGCAGCAGTGCTACACCTTGATTTAAAAACAACAAAATTTTTTTTAAATACATTTTTCTGAGATGGAGCCTCGCTCTGTTGCCCAGGCTAGAGTGCAGTGGCGCAATCTCGGCGCACTGCAAGCTCTGCCTCCTGGGTTCATGACATTCTCCTATCTCAGGCTCCCAAGTAGCTGGGACTACAGGCGCCCGTCACCGTGTCTGGCTAATTTTTGTATTTTTTTTAGTAGAGATGGGGTTTCACCATGTTAGCCGGGATGGTCTCAATCTCCTGACCTCGTGATCCACCCACTTGGCCTCCCAAAGTGCTGGGATCACAGGCGTGAGCCACCGCGCCCAGCCTGAATACATTTTTCATAATGATTTATGTATCCCCAAAATATAATAATAATATATTTATTTTAAAAACATATTTTCTAATTACTAATGAGCAACTTGGTAATTACTAATTACATGTTTACTAATATTAAAATTCTAGATACCCGTAGGTAAGTTTGTGGGTTTTTTAATTTTTTTTTTTTTTTTTTTTGAGACAGAGTTTCGCTCTGGTTGCCCAGGCTGAAGTGCAGCAGCTCGATCTCGGCGCACCACAACCTCCACCTCCCGGATTCAAGCGATTCTCCTCCCTCAGCCTCCCGAGTAGCTGGGGATTACAGGCATGGGCCACCATGCCCAGCTAATTTTGTATTTTTAGTAGAGACAGGGTTTCTCCATGTTGGTCAGGCTGGTCTCAAACTCCCGACCTCAGGTGATCCGCCCGCCTCAGCCTTCCAAAGCGCTGGGATTACAGGCATGAGCCACTGTGCCCAGCTGGTTTTTTAAATTTTTAACAATATATTCCAGAACATTAGTTTTCAGAAAATGCATGAAGATACTTACCCATCCTTGGTTTGATCAGCTACTCCTGCCAAGAGCTGCACGATCTTTGGGTTACTATTTGGATCATTATACAGTCCAAGATAGCGCTGAACAAAGTCTTCTGGGGTCATGTAACGCTCTCCATCAACCTCAGTACTGGCATACTAAAAAAATAAATAAATAATGCATACTGAAAAATTATCCAATATCATTTTATATCCAATAAATGGTTTGTGAAAAGGTAAATTAAAGGCCAGTATTAAAATCAAAATAAAGATAATAAATGCAGAATTTTTCTCTGGATACCGAAAAATCAAATATTCAGAGCCTGATTTAAAAACATTTTATAGTACTAATACATGCACAACATGTAGGAACCTTGAAAACATTATGATAAGTGAAAGAAGACAGACACTAAAGGCCATATATTATGTGATACTATTAAGTGGCATGTCCACAATAGGCAAGACCATAGAATCAGAAAGCAGAATATTGGTTGCCAGGAGCTGAAAGGAGAGGGGGAATGGGAGTTAACTGCTTACTGGTTATCAGATTTCTCTTTGGGGATGATGAAAATGTTCTGGAATTAGATAGTGGTAACATCATACAACATGGTAAATATACTTTTTTAAAAAACACTGAATTGTATACGTTAAAATGGTGAATTTTACATTATGTGAATTTTATCTCAATTAAAAATACATATATTGGTAAGATAAAAGATATGAAAAGACTAAGAAAAGTGAAA